>NW_025791802.1:0-234878 GCF_000001405.40 Homo sapiens
ATCCTTTTCAGTGATCCGTCCACCAGAATATCCTACTTTGCCTGGGTCATTTCACGCCTTCCCCAACGAGGCGAACCCCAGCCCAACGTCCAAAGCTTTCCTGAAGCCCCACTGCCTCCACCACCCTCAGTAAGCGAAGAGAAGGGAAGATGCATGGAGCCCCGCCCCATCCCAGAGACGGCCCGGTGCACAGGGACGTGCAGGTCACACAGATTACAAGGCTGAGGAGGGGATGGGATGGGAAGGGGTCCGTGTGGAGCAGCAGCCTCCACCTCCGGGTCTCTGACTCCAACGAGGCAGAGACCACCTTCCCTGACGCCTCATCCCTCCACCTGGCCCCTTCCCAGCATCTGCAACCCACTGGTGTGTCTTGGTCCCCCAGGCAAGGGTGATGTCTCAGCCATCTCTGCAACCCTTGCCCCACAGGGCCTGGCACGCAGCAGGATGGGGGTGACGGAGGAGAGAGAGCTCTCCGCACCTTCCTTCCCCCACCTGTGAGACGGCGATGAGTTGGCTGGACGCTACGATCTCTAGGAACCCCATTAGGCTCTAAAATCCTGGCAGTTTCTAAAATGCACAGTAAGCTAACTGTTCCCAGCAAAACTGAAGCACGTCTGGCATAATTAGCATCACACACACATGTGCACACGGCGGTACTGGACTCATCCAGCCGAGAGGCTGGACTCTGCCAGCTTCCCGCTGACCACAGAGGCAGCCAGACCCAGCTCTGGAGTCTGCTCGCAGAGCCCAGCCGGCTGTGCACGGGAGGGCGATTGATGCGGCTGCCAGTTCGAAGAGGCAGAGCAATAAAGCCTCGGCGACTGCGGTGCCTTCTGCTGCCGGGGTGGGACCCCTAAGCTTTTCAGAGGCCTGGATGCTGAGGGGGGCCCACGGGAAGCTGGCTCTATTAGGCTCAAGCTGCCATTTCTGACATAAGTGGCAATGTTAAGTGATGGGCGCACAGCCGGCCGGATTCTGCCATCCCAGGCCTAGAACCTGCCCCATGGTCACGGTCGAGCTCGGGAGCGCCGACATCCCGCATGCACCGAGACAGCCTGGCTTTTCCAGCCAGAGGGACTGGGAGCAGCAAGGCCGGAAAATACAGGGCCAAGCGGGGCGGGGATGAATCGCAGCTCCTCGCGGCATGGGCGGCACACTCCCAGAGCCAGAGCTGCTGGGAACTGGGAAGGCAGGGTCTCCGCTCCGGCGATTAACTCTGCCGATCTGCAACATCACGGCTAATTAGGGAAGGTGTAAATCACTGGGAGGAAGCGGGCAGGCACATCCTTCAGGTTGATTACCAGCACGGTTTAGGAAAAGATAACCAGGCCCGGCCTTTCTTCTGTTCCTTTGCCAGCCGTGGGGGCGGGGTGGGGGCCGTGGCGGGCGGGCAACAATCCGCGGCAGGTAGGAGGAGAGAATGTACCAGGCCTTTGAGTGCTGTTTCTGTTTTAATTTTTTCTTAGTCATATGGAGTGACCTTGTGGATTTCCCAGGGAAATTAAGAAAAATTCCACTGAACAGATCTCACAGCTGTTACGAGTTTCTGAGCTTCCGTGGGTCCCGTGCATTTACGACTGTGACGACTTAGACTCAGGACGTGCACGTGATGCCGTACTGGGCTTTTTCCATTCAGCGTGATTACACGGTGTTATTCATTAAGGGCTGGAGACTCTGATGGCAGGAATCATTTGTTTTTCTTTTTCCCTTAAGGCATTTGCAAATATGCTTGGAGGCAAAGGGACGCTGGGTACATCTAATAAATAAAGCAAAATAATTAATAGCTCAAGCAGTCTAGAGACCACTCCCAGTTGCTCCTGAACCAGGCTTTTGAGAGCCAATCGTTCTGTTTTCATTCCCTCTCGACTTCGTCCTTGAAATACACATTACTGGGAAGAAAACAGCCAAGAGATTTTTCTGAACCCAAAAAGAATGTTTATTTTTTTTCCCCTAGATTTTATAGGAGCTTAACGTGGGCAAACCAATGAGATGATTCTAAACCAAAGCGCCCTCGTGGGCTCCACGCTCTCAGCCTGTCCATCAGCAGCACACCTGGGAGATTCTGCCCAACCTAGGGAAAGGAGGAGCCATAGGAGCTGGGCAGGGAAGGCCAGAGCACACACGCTCCGGGGACGCACACCCACGCCTAGAGCACACACGCTCCGGGGATGCACACCCACGCCCAGAGCACACGCGCTCCGGGGACGCACACCCACGCCCAGAGCACACACGCTCCAGGGATGCACACCCACGCCCTGGACCCCAGCAGAGGGATCAAGGGCTCAGGCATCCCCAGTGCCGCCAATCACGTGGCCCTCTCGAGGTGAAGCTGCGACACTGTGTGGAAACCCAGGGGAGATGGGAGAGGCCTGAAGCGGGAGGCGGGAGGACCGCATAGCTGCAAATGCATCTGGGCGTGAAGACGTCCCTGTGTCATCTCTGCAGGACCAAACAGTCAATTAGTATCCAAATACTTTTAGGGGACAGAAAGACGCTCACGGTTCCTGTCGCAGGTCCAGGTTATTCGGTGCCATAAAAAGGCACACGTCGACCTTCACTGTTTCCTGCAAACACAGCTGGGACATCAGCCCGGAAAGGAATGTAACCTGTCAGGCCGCAAATCCCACGGTTCTCACTAGGAGCAGGAAAGGACCCTGGTCTCCCTTCACATCCACCAAAAGCTCACCCTGACTAGAGAACCAAGCAGAGACTGAGGCCAGAGAATAACCAAGTAGCAAGGAGGGGAGGGGTCTTCACAGACAGAGGCCTTGCTATGGGTGGGCTCTGGCTTCCAGGTGGTGGGCTCTGCGGGCCAGAGCTTGGGGCGCAGGAGGCCAAGGTCCAGGTCCCAGACACATCCATTATGGCCAAACACAAGAAGCCCTCAGGCCTGCCCAACACGGCTGTGGGCACCGGTGCCTCCCCAGACCCTCTGGGCAGCCCATCCTTGCACCTGGAGGAGCAGCTCACCGTGCCGTGGAGGGTGGCCGCGAGGTTCATCTGGGCCTCCGAGCCTCCCAGCGCATCCCACTGCTCTGCAGAAACAGAATAATCACCACCCAGGCTGGTGGCTTCCCAACTTTTCCGTGACGTTCCCCTAGGCAATTTAAAAATGGAGTGAATACTGATAATAATTTGACTAAATTTAGGTGTTCCCCTTAGGCATCTGATTAAATTTCATGAACTCTTTTTCAGGCTTGCAGCCCAAATTCCCCTTCTCTCTTGGCTTCACGGCACGGGCTTCTTGACCACCATGTAGGGTCAGCAAATTCCGCCTAACAAGCCGGAGCTTTCCTTCCTTCCCGGAGGAACAAGACACTAAGAAGAGGTTCCCAGGGGAACATGCAGTGGGAGTCTGGGCCGCTACGTTGTGGGGTGGTGTAACCAGGGTTTGTCCAGAAAAAGACACAGAACCCGCAGGCCCTGGAGGACCCTGAAGATCACCAGGCCCAGTCTGTTCCTCTCCCTAACCAGGACACTGTGGTGCAGACAGTGTAGGGACTGGCGAAGAGACACAGTGGGTGGCAGGAACGGGGAACAGAAAGCCAGAACCTTCTAGATTCTGAGCTGCTGGGCTTTGTGACATCCCACATGGCTTGGTCCCGCCTTTCAGCCCCCCAGGGTTCACTCGAACCGCCTCCGCGCACCCCAACAGCAGAGACGTAACGTGCAGGACTGACTGGTGCTTCCCAAAAATCTTCTCGGACTCAGTGGCACACCTGGGACTGCCCGAATCTGTGCCCTGGTCCCCGTTACTGTTCCTGCAGGCTGGAAGGGGAGCCTGTGAGTTGAGCCAGAGCTGACCGGGAGCTGCTGGGACCATGGCTAGGGGTTGTGACGTGACCTGGGCCCCGGGAGGCCCTGAGGGAACTGGTGGGTACTCTCCAGCACCCCAACCCCAAAGGGCAAACAGTCATGATACCAATCACCAACATCCTTTGATAAGACCTTGGCTACTCATTTATATTCATTTAAATTCCATCCACACACTTGTCACAGCAAAGCTGAATTCTGTATCTAGCCCCTCGTGGCAGCAGTGACGGAAGGACAGAACTTGTTTAGGCATCGTTTCCTCGCTCCCTCCTTAATCTCCACTCGGCTTTTCCCATCCCCTGGGCCTAGTTTCAGGGGAGCCAGCATCTTCCGCACCAATGCACTGCTTGGCCCGGCTCAGAGGATTTGACGCAAACCAGGACTGGGGCCCTGGCCGACAGAAAATTCTTAGAGCAAAATGGCTGTTCACCAGCGGCGGGTATGTTCTTAGACCCTCCATCTGCCCGGGCCCTGCTGGGAGAAGGCCTCGGGCCTCCACCTCCAGCAATCCTCTAATACCTCCTCAGAGCTTTCCGGAGAGAAGGGAGGAAGCCAGGGAAGCTCTGGGTGCCCCCGACAAGTTTAACCCCTTCCTTCTTTGGCACACACTTCACAAAAGAAGACACCAGGTGAACAAGCACGCAGAGACATATTCAAGATCGTCGGTGATAAAGAAATGCGCATGAACATGATTTTTAAGCCATCCTACCAGCAACACTTCGTTTTCCAAAGCGGGGAGGCCAAACCTCCAAAGCTGGGAGGGCTACAGTCAAAGAAGCACCTCCCACACCGGAGGCAAGGGACGCGCCACCCTCGGAGCGGCTCCCTCGGCTCTTCTGTAATCTCAGCAAGAACGTGCTCACTGCACATAACGCTGAACCTGCCACGGGCACGAAGCAGACCCACATCCGTCCCTGCAGCAGCAGCCTCGGCCCAACCTCAATCCCACTCCTCCAAGGGCGCGCCAGGGAACAGCAGGACGCGGCCCTCCGGGGCTTCCCTGTGCGCACACACACACGCACACACACACACATGCACATGTATTAAAGCAAAAGTGAGATTGTGCTGTCAACATTGTGTTACGCCTGGAATTTTTCAGTTACTATATCCAGGGCCTTAGCCCTGTCGGTATGCAGGGATAAGCTGCACCTCTTTTTGAGGGCCGCTTCCACGTTTTCTCTAAACATTCCTTATAGACAAAGACTTGGGTTGTTTCCATTGTCGTTTTTCTTTGTGTGGTTTTTTTTTCTTTTTTTTTTTTTGAGACCGAGTCTCACTCTATCACCCAGGCTGGAGTGCAGTGACACGATCTCGGCTCACCACAACCTCTGCCTCCCAGATTCAAGCAATTCTCCTGCCTCAGCCTCCTGAGTAGCTGGAATTACATGCGCCCGCCATCAAGCCCAGCTAATTTTGTATTTTTGGTAGAGACGGGGTTTCACCATGTTGGCCAGGCTGGTCTTGAACTCCTGACCTCGTGATCCACCCACCTCAGCCTCCCAAAGTAGGGGGATTACAGGCCTGAGCCACTGTGCCCAGCTTCATTTTTCTGTAAAGTCAATAATATCACATTGAACTTTTGTGTGTTCACGTCTGCACACAATACACCGAACCTGTGTGTGCACGTGTGTACAGGTACCGTGCATCTCTTTAAACATTCCCTGAGGCTTGGCGTGGTGGTGGCTCAGGCCTGTAATCCCAGCACTTTGGGAGGCTGAGGCAGGTGGATCACCTGAGGTCAGGACTTTGAGACCAGCCTGGCCAACATGGGGAAACTCCGCATCTACTAAAAAAAAAAATACAAAAATTAGCCGGGTGTAACGGCCGGTGCCTGTAATCCCAGCTACTCGGGAGGCTGAGACAGGAGAATGACTTGAACCCAGGGGGCGGAGATTGCAGTGAGCCGAGATCACGTCACTGCACTCCAGCCTGGGCGACAGAGCAAGACTCTGTCTCAAAACAAAACAAAAAAATTCCCTGTAGGCAAGAATTGGGATGTTACTCATTCCACTTTTTTGTAAAATAAATAATATGACATTGAACTTCTTTGTGCATGCATATGTGTGTACACGTAAATACTGAACCTGCGTCATCCACGTTTGTGCGGAATCCCTGTGTGTGTGCACACGCATCCACCCCGAGCCTCTGTGTGCAGAGCTCCAAGCACAGACGTGTTCATCAAGGACAAGCGGGAAGCCGGGAACAGCTCCATGTCCATGGAAGGGGCATGGGCAAGTGAAATGCTACGTCCCTCACCAACAGGCCGCTGTGCAGGCGTGAAACCCAGTGGCGGTTCAGAAGACGTGGCAGCGCGGGAGGGGTTTATGGCAGGGCATGAATTGAGAATGGCAAGACAGACCATGTAATCTCAGGGACTCTCAGCTGGCCCCACCCCAGGAAATGCAGTCGGTGTGTCTTAGGAGGTTGAGTGCACATTGCAGGGCCCAGGGGCCCCTCGGAGGGGCTCCTGTCCCTCTGCACCAAAGGTGTGCACAGAAGCTGTCAAGGTGACATCATTCACAGAGAAAAACCCAAACTAAACCACATGGTCATCAACAGGAGTGTGGACAACCTGGGGAACAGCCATGGAGACAGTGTCCCCCTATTGGAGTGAGCACCCGCAGCACCTCAGGCACGGGGAGCTGAGCCACCGACGGCTACAAAGACGGGGACGCTTTCCTAGGGCTCAAAGCAAGGCAGAATGTTGAGAAGTGCACATGTGTGCAAAGCCTGCTTTAGGAGAGCAAGGAAGTGCCGCCCACGGCATTCCGGAAGGTGGTTCCTTCTGGAGACCGGGGCACGGAACGACCAGACTGGGGAGGAAGGAGTGGAGCACTGGCCTCCTAGGAAGCTCTAGTTCAGACACAGGGGGCGCTGGGTCACGGGGTTCATTTATGATTGTGTTTCATGGTTTACATGCTACAAATATTCTTTGGCATGTATCAAATATGACAAAATTTAAAAAAAATTTAAATTTATTTAGAGACAGGGTCATGCTCTGTCACCCATGCTGGAGTGCAGGGGTATGATCTCGGCTTACTGCAGCCTTGATCTCCCAGGCTTAAGGGATCCTCCCTCCTCAGCCTCCCTGAGTAGCTGGGACTACAGGCAGGCACCACAGCACCTGACTATTTATTTTGTATTTTTTACAGAGATGGCGGGGTGGGGGGGCGGGGGTCTCATTTGTTGCCCAGGCTGACCTTGAACTCCCAGACTCAAGCCCATCCTCTTGCCTCAGCCTCCCAAGTAGCTGGGACCACAGGCATCTGCCAGCACGCCCAGCCAATTTTTCAATACTTTTTTGTAAAGATGGGATCTCACAATGTTGCCCAGGCCTGAAGTGATGCTCCCACCTCAGTCTCCCAAAGCACTGGGATTACAGGTGTGAACCACTGTGCCTGGCCTAAAATCAAAAAAAATTTTAAACCAAGAAAGTGAATTTTATATACAGCCTGCCTGTCTACAACTCTGTAAAATAACTTAGGCATCGGAAGCAAAAATAAAAAATAAAAGTAAACACAAGGCTGAAGGAAATACACCAAAAAGTTAACGGTGGTGAGCTGGGTATGGTGGGGCTTCACACCCTTCTTTTGTCTTTTCCCTATCTCCCAGAATTTCCTTAGGAGCAGGTGCTACTTTTATAATTAAAAAGAAAGAAAGAGAGAGAGAGAAAGAAAGAAAAAGAAAGAAAGAGAAAGAAAAGAGGGAGGGAGGGAGTGAAGGAAGGAAGGAAGGAAGGAAGGAAGGAAGGAAGGAAAGGAGACAAACAAAAGCCCTCCAAAACATGGAAAACAGTAAAGGCAAAAAAAAAAAAAACAGTTAAAAAGAGCAAAAACCACCCTCCCCAAAACAAAAATAGCCCCAAGCAATCCCTCCATAGGATCAACAGGGAACTAAGACAAGCAGGTGAAAAGACCACACTGAAGTCAGACCTCAGATCATAACAGAAACAAAAAGCAGGTCCTAAGGCCTCCCTCTGGCTCCCCCCCACCCACCCCACCATCCTCCAGCTTCGGACACAGCCCTGCGATGGAGCTGGGGCTATGTTTTGGGGGCTGCGTTTTGGTGGTGACACAGCATTTCCCAGGGCTGCTGTAATGAAGGACCACAGACCAGAAGCTTGAAAACAACAGAAATGTATTGTCTGGCAGTTCTGGAGGTCAAAGTCAAGGTGCTAGTCGGGCCGCGCCCCCTCTGAAGGCTCCAGGCAAGAGTCTTTCCTGCCTCTTCCAGCTGGAGGTGCTCGTCCTGGATCCTGGAAGCCCCCAAGCCTGCAGCAGCATCACTCCCATCTCTGCCTCCATCTCCCTGCCCCTCCTGTGTCTGTGTGTCCGTCCGTGTCTTTTAAAGACATCCGTTGGATTTAGGGCCACCCTAATCCAGGAAGACCTCAACTGGATCCTTCCCTTGATCCCATCAGCAAAGACCCTATTTCCAAATAAAGTCACATTCTGAGGTTCTGAGTGGCCATGAATTTGCGGGGAAGGGAGTCACTATCCAGGCCACGGCAGACACAGTTCCCCGAAACTGAAGACGTGTTTACTCACTTTTTTTGGACAGGGAAGCTCGGCTGTGGGTGCGAAGCAGGACTGCCCCCCAAGGCCAGGCAGGTCCTCGAGGAGCATCTCCCAGTCCAGTCTCAGCGGGCACTGGCCTGGCACTCACGCTCGGGGTGGGGGGCATCCCAGGCCCTGAGACTGGTGCTGGGTCCAAGGGTCCCCATCCGGTGGCAGCCATTCCGCATTGATCTCCATTTGCTTTTCAAACATGCAATTCTCATAAACTGTGCTAAATGCCATTTAGTAGCTAATTAACTTTCTGTGTGAAGACCTCTCTAATTGCGCACACTCCCCCCTCGGCTGGGTCCTCGGGGATGCCCAGCTGTCCTAGAGTATTTGTTCTGCTGGCTCCCACCTCGCAGCCACAACTTCAATGCCCACAACAAACTGCCAATCAAGGCTGTGGAGGTCAAAGGGGACCAAATCAGGGGCCCTCTGCTACTACCAAACTCTCCCGGCAAAGCTTAATTTAAATAAGAAAGCAGAAAGGTTATGAAAAACCATTTTTCCCAACGAAACTCTTCTGCCAGGCGGCATAAGGGGCGCGGCCCTCCGCTCTTCAGAACGGCTGGTGTCTGCTTTGAAAGGTCCTGACTAGAATCTGTTTATATTTTGACTGCACTGGCATCTGCCATCCCTCAAACGGAGAGATAATCAGGAAATAAAAGCTTTTGATTAGCAGCTGCATGAATCACTGCAGTGCCAATTTCCTCGTGGTCCCAAAGTGCGGGAGGGAGGGCAGGAGGCGGCAAGCATGGGTGCTGGGTCCACCTCACCCACTTGGGGCAAAGCCATCTCTCACTTTATTCACTGGTCTTGGACTTGGGGCCCCAGGTCTATATCCCAAGGCCACGTTCGCTTCATAAACGCAAGGTGATCTCTGAGCACCTCTTAGACAGAAGTCTGGGCAGACGCAAATGTGCAGCGTTTCAAAGCAAAGCTCAAGAGTGGATTCCTCAGTGCAGTATCGTCAGCGTTGCAGTGGTGGGTAAGAGGCCCCGGGATTATTTTTGGAGGGCCCCTCCCTGCAGAGCAACCACGTGAGGACTCCCTACCCCAGGACCTTCCACCAGAAAAGGCCAAAGAGAGACCACACGTGCCGCCCCCTGCCGAAGCCTGGCCTTTGAAGGATGAACGGCAAGGGGTATGTCTGCCCTGACAGAGTGACCAGTACCCGCAGCACCCGAGTTCTTTGCCTCTTATTAAAGGGCAGAGCCACCATGGTGGGTGAACGGGCTTCCTCTCGGAAACCAACATCCTGGTTGGGTTTTCCCTTCCAAGGAAGGCTCTACACACCCGGCCCTCCTCAGAGCCTCAGCCCGCAGCGGGAGATGACACCTCCGATCAGGTCCACGGGAAGATGGGGGTGAACGAGAAGCCTGAGGCCGGGCCGGTGGGAGGGCGTGATGCATGGGAGGAGCTGGACTGCGGTCAGCCGTCCCCTCGCGCCCTCCGGTCTCTGCTGCTGTGTTTACTTGGCTCCCTTCCCGGGATGGCCTTGTAGCAAATCCATCTGGGATATGTTTTGTTTCCACAGAGGGACCCTGAATTTTGAGGTGGGGCCACAGAACCTCCCTTGAGAGCCAGAAGAGATCAGGGCCAGGATGGGTCACGGGCTGTGCCCAGTGTCGCTGCCCAAGGCAGAACTGGCTGCCCACCAGGGGCAGGAGACTGGATGGTCTTTCCAGGCCCTCATCCCAAACTCAAGCACTGGAGAAAATTGTTCCAGAGCGTCTCGGTCTGGGTGGGAGCGGGGAATAAGCATTTCTTTAAGGAATTTTTTTTTTACTTTTTTTTCAGACTGGGTCTTGCTCTGTCACCCAGGCTGGAGTGCTGTGGTGACATCACAGCTCACTGCAACCTCCGCTTCCACCTCTTGGGCTCAAGCGATCCTCCCACTTCAGCCTCCCGAGTAGCTGGGACCACAGGTGCACGCCATCACGCCCAGCTAAATTTTTTATTTTTTATAGAGATGGGGTCTCGCTATGTTGTCCAGGCTGATCTTGAACTCCTGGGCTCAAGCGCTCCTCCTGCCTCGGCCTCCCAAAGTGCTAGGATTACAGGCATGAGTCATCATGCCTGACCTATTTTTAAACCAGAATAAGCAGGTACAGAAGTTTGCCTGGTGACCAGGAGTCATGACTCTTTCCGAATGAAGGTGGGGATGGGGGTAGGGAATGTCCCCATGAAGGTAGCCCCTGGCTGGGCATTTTCCACTCCCAGCCACAGCCTCCCTCTGCGGGCAGAACCCTGGGTGCTGCAGGGAGCTGGTTCTCAGGGAAAAGGGAATTAAGTCAGTACTGGGAGATTTGGGTTCCACAGAGTTTAGGGGCTCCTACAAACAGCGGCTTACGGGCTGGTGAGGAATTTCCCATCCTGAAGCTTTTAAAGCAGACAAACACATGAGTGCTGGGTGGGGGCGGGGTGCTGGGAGATGCAGAGGCTCAGAAAAACCCTCCGAGGCTCTCGGATTTTACGCCTGCATGAGATTTCGAGGGAAGAATCCTAAATGTGGGGAAATGAGGTTGCCCAGCAATTCTGAATGTGGTTTAAAAAAAAAATTAGGTGGGGGAGAATGAGACGATATTCAATATTTCCTTCTGATTCAAACGAAATACTTCTAAGTTCTTCTCTGTGAAAGCGTGTGTGTGTTTAGAAGGGAGAGGGGGATGATAGCACGTCCTGCCAGAAGCCGTTTTATTTACTAGTTTGGATGCTTCCCCTGACGCCTACCTGGGAGGTGCTTGCCTGGCCACCAGCCAGGGCCGTGGCTCCTCGGCAAGTGGGCGTCCGCCGAGCCTTTGATGCACTCTCCAAAGTCACAGAGCAAAACAACACGCTGAACAAACACCACCACCCTGAAAAGTCACCAGCCCATGGGCCTCTCCCTGGCTCCAGCTGTGGCTGATTTACCCAAACTGAAACATTTTCCTTTTGTCGACTGTAGAGAGCTATGAGTCAGGTCCAAGCTCCACTGGGCGTATGCCCAAGGGGCAGAGGGGGCAGCAACCGGACGGAAGCTGCCCAATCATAAGACCATGGCTGAAAGTCAAACGCGCCCAGAGTCCACAGTCGACCACCTCCCGCTCGGCAAGCCAGGGTCCTGGTGAACGCACGTGCCTGCGTTCTGTACCAAACAGTTGTCAACACACACCAGCAACTTAACAAATCAACTCCAACAAAGGGGAAAAAATTAACATTAAGGGCAAAAAGACTTTTTCTGGAGGGTCCTATGCACCAGATGTTGGCTCTTTAATTGGCAGTCAACCTCAAAGCAAAACTTAGAAGGCCCCTGCTTGTTTTATCAGTTAGAGCCACAGAAAATCAAAGTCCAATCCCGCTAAGCATGGTGCTGTGTAGCCCGGCCAGCCCCGTGGAAGTCCTCAGCCTGGTCCCGTCTTCTGGGCTCTGCTGGGCTGGACGGTGCCACCCTCCCCAACCCGCACCTGCCCGCCGGCCCCAGGCCCTCCCTCAGGACCCAGCACCTTCAGTCCTCCTGCCGAGAAGAAGCCTTTCATCAGTAAAAGAGAAAACGGCTTCTCCAAAGGAAGTTTCTTAACTTGAAAAAACACCATGATTAGGGAAACTCCTCCATCGTCCAAGATACAAACACAAACTCCCAAACACCTGTCAATCCTTCTCAGGGCTCCACATGGCCCAAAGGACACCCCAAATGTGGAGGACCACTCAAGACCCTCAAATGCAGCACCGTGTGCCCCCTGAACAGGGATCCCCACATTCGATGAAAACAAAATTGGCCAGCGCAGGAACTTTTGCCCATGACTTAAGCACAGCAAAGTCCCCAAAGCCAGAATCCCTCCCAGGACCTGCCCGACGGGTTTTATCACTGGACGCATCAAAGCCCCTCTCACTGGTGGTTGGTTCAGCAGAGCCCTGGGCCTCGGGCCTGCCCTGCTCTGACAGCTCCCACACTGTGGCCTTGATCGGGCCCTTTTCCACTCTGTGCCTGCTTTGAGTAACAGGCTCCCACAAAAACACTGTGCTGGGGTATTTCCAGGATGAAAAGCCACGGTTCGCTTTGCCTGCCATGGACAGAGTCATAAATACGAGTTGTCGTTGCCTCTTCCCAACAGTCTGGCATGGCAAACTGGCCTTGTGGAGTTCGGAATTGTTCTAGATACTGCTCATGTATTCTCCAGCAGCTCTAGCTGGTTCTGCCCAGATACCTGGCAATGCCAAAGGCCGAGAGGCCAAGACACTACAACCTTTGTTCAAATACACGAACATCCTCAAATACACGAATGTCCTCTCTGCACAAGCAGAGCAGCCTCAGCATCGGCCCTCGCAAGTCCCACCAGAGAACGGTATTGAAAAGATGACTGGGGTCAAGGGGTGCGGAGAGGGACCCACTGTACCCTCATGGCCACTCTAGCGCCAGCCCTTCTGTAATGACCCCCTCTGGATTCCCAAAAGTCAGCCGAGGGGTCCCCACCCTCCTGGGGTGGCTGGGGTGTTGCTGCCCACCCCCAGGGGCAGGCCTGTGTGCAGCATCCATGCCCAGAAACCTGCGCTCAGATTTCCCAGTTCCCAGAAGACAACAGGGAGAGTCTATTTTTCTAAGCTCACTAGGTAAAGTGTTACTTCCTGATCTAATCTTGCCAGGCTCTGGAAGCTTCCGTCAAGGTTTTCCCACACTCCATGTCAGGTCTCTGACATGAACCAGCTTTCAGAGTCTAACGACTAGATTTGACTTTCAGCTGCTCGGACGGAGGCTTCAACTCAGCCTGAACTAGCCGCGTGGACAGCAGCCGTAGCCCTCACAAGGCGTGTGCGGTGACGGGTCTCGGGCGCCCAGCCAGCGAGGGGCCGGCTCCAGGTGGTGGGAGCCCACGCCCCCGGCCAGCACTCTGGCCACAGCGCAGCACCTGCCCCATGAGAGCCTCCTGTTGCAGCCCGGGCAGAGGTGAGCCTGGGCAGCCACCTCCCACGTGATTTCCCAATGCTTGAAGTTCACGACCAATTGCTGGGGTGGGGACAACCTACACAGGCTTACAGACCTAATCCAAGAAGGCAGTTCTCAAAAGGATGGGAAAACGTGCACCAGTCTCACAGTCCCAGTCACCTTAAAAGGTCTTAACTGATTTTTCCTTCTCTCTGTTTATTGTGGTAAAATGTCCATAACATAAAATTCACCACCTTAACCGTTTTCAACGTCGAGCCCAGTGGCATTATACCATTCCTATTTTTGTGCAACCATGACACCACCCATCTCCAGAACTCTCCTTCTTCCCAAACTGAAGCTTTGTCTCCATGAAACACCAGCTCCCCAACGTCCCCTCCCTCAGCCCCTGGCACCCCAATCTTTCCCTCTCTGAGCCTGACAACTCCAGGGGTCGCACACAAGTGGAATCACACAGATTTGGCCCCTTATGTCTGGCTCATTTCACTCGGCGTAACGTCCTCAACTCATCCGTGTTGCGGCGCGTGTCAGAATTGCCTTCCCAAGGCTGAACGTTCCGCTGGGTGTGTGTGGAACATGTGTGTGAACACACCGCGTTTCTCTAGTCACCCGTCGGGGGAACTTGGACGCTTTCACCATGGGCTACTGTGGACGGTGCTGCTATGGGCAGGGGTGGTCATGTATCTGAGCTCCTTCTCTTTATTTCTGACACTTCTATATAACCATGAATCATCTATGAAATAATTTTGACAAGCAAGAGGTTCACAAAGTAAATTCCAGACAAAGCCACCCTGGAGACCCAGCTGGGCTGTCCCGGGGGCGGTCCCTGCGTCCACGCCGGGAGAGCAGGAATGACACAAAGCAGGCTGCATCTGGCTGTGTCAGGCCTCCCACCCATCCCATCAGCCAGGCATCTCTGCTTTGGGGCCAGAGGTCAAACGTGTCTGGGTTCCGTGTAGTCTCAGGGGAGGCTGAGGCTGACGCGAGGTGGGGTGGGGTGAGGTTGTGCTGGAGGCTCTCCACCTCTCCACCCACCAGACACCCAGAGAAGAGGCGGAAAGTCAGCAGGGAAGGCAGAAGGCTGCTAAGAGTGGACAGGATGCAGGAGTGGCGTCTGGCTGACCCTGACCAGGGGGACCTGGCCCAAGTGAGTGTGCACCCCAGCCCGGCCCTCAGAACTGCTTGCAGGCACTTGCGAGTTAATATCCACGTGATTTAGGATTCACCAAAATCTGCTTGGAAGGAGGCAGGGAGGCAAGAGGGAGGTCAGGTGGGGAGGCGCGCAGGCAGTGCTGCCCTCCAGCCACAGGCAGGTGGGGGTGGGGCGGGGCGGGGCGGGGAGGGGGAGGGCGGGGGCGTGCACCGCAGGCAGCGGCCAGCCCTGGGCTGATCTAGGGGAAGCCTGCCATCTGCTGGGCACCGGGATCCCTCCCGGAGCAGGAGTGCCACCTCCACGCAGATGGAGTTTGCAAGGGGCGGTGCCGCCATCTTCACAGAGGCTCCGGGCAGCTGGCGGGGGTGGGGGGATGGTTGGGGGGGCCGTGTTGGCCAAGCCCAATTCTGGGGTGGGAGAAAACGAGCAACACTCTGCAAAGGGCCGGGGGCCTGGTGGCCCCCCCATCCTCGCCGGACCTCAATGTCCTGCGTACAAGCCTGTCCCGGCCGTGGCCACCGGCTGGCTTGTGTGCTCCGCCTGCCGGGAAGCGCTTTCCCCCTCGTGGACCCTACAAAGACGCCTCTCTGCAGGCTCCCCTCATGCTGCGGGCACACAATGCGTCCTTTCACCCGGGGTGGGTCTGGCGGAGGCGGCCCCTCCCCGGGGTGCCCCCCGCTGGGCCCCTGACCCCACACTCCGCTGCTGTTCTTGGCCTGCGTAGACCCGTCCCTTTCAACCGCTGTCAGGAAACTGTGTGGACGAGGAATCCCTGCTGGTCGCGCCCGAGACCATCTCTCTGCGTCTCCTAGAAGGGGAAACCGTGACCCACATCAAACTGTGGCCGTTGGAAAGGTGAACACACGGAGCCTGGGGCCGGTGGGGCCAGGGGGTGGGGTATCCTTGCACCCGATGTCACTTGACACCCGTCCCGGCAGCCCGCCAGGCTCGGAGAGAGACCGTAGCTACCAAAAATAATCCTCCCAGTGTTTAAATATTTACAGAAGCAAGACAGATCCTGATGCCTTTACAATCTACTGGAGTCTGCCCTAACCGCCAGTCCGAGGCTCCCAGGAGAGGCCACAGCGACCACCCACCCGGTTTTCGGGGTCCCAGGTCGCCTCTCCTCTCCCTGTCCCTGCCTGATATATATCGCAGGGCTCCTCCTCCGGTGACCACATATCTGCCACTAGCCCTCTCCCTCCTTCCAGAACATTCCCACTTCCAACTCTGCTCTCACATCACCCCAGCCCCAGCACCTACCTTGAGACAGCTCTTTCTGCTCCAGAGCCCCTCGGGGAAAGCCTGCTTTCTCTGCAGAGCCTGCACCTCATTTTGGGAACCAGTGAACAAAATGTAACAAGAGGCATTTGTCCATGTAACCCCATTGTCCATGTAACCCCTGGGGCTGGTCTCGACCCCACTCCCCTCCTGGGGACACAAGGGTGAGACGGTACAGTACCAGGCCAACACCAGTCCCAGCGGATGGCACAGAGATGGGCACTGCTCTCAGGGCCTGTCCAGATGCTACTTCTCATGACAGTCTATGGGGTGGGGAGCACTAGCGCCAGCCCCATTGTGCAGAGGGGAAACTGAGGCAATGAGGGTAATAACCCACCAGCACACAGCCAGGCAGAGCTGGGATGTGGCCAAGGACTTGGCTCCAGGCTCCCACACTTAAAGATCATCTCTGTCACCACCTGGGGGTAATAAGGTCAGGGATATGCCCCAGGCCGCCTGCTTCCACCAGCCAGTCCCTTTCAAAGGGCGGAGGTTTCCAGAAGTGTGGCTGAGTGTCTGTCTGTTCTTGATGGTCAGGGAACCTTACTTTCAGGTCCCCAAAGCAGATTCCCTGAGGCCAGGAGGCACTTAGGTGGACGGGCACCAGGAGCCCTGTGTCCTCTGCCTTGCAGGTGTTTAGGGAACATTGTTCAGACTGGAAGGAAGAGCCACGTGAAAATGCCCTTTCTGTTTACTCTGCTGGGAAGGATATGAAGCCAAACAGAACCAGCTACGGGAGTCTTTCGACCGCAAGACAAAAGGTCCTTTGCCCCCACTACCTGCAACTTTCAGGGAAGATTTCATCAGGTGCTGGGTTACATTGCAACAGCCAGGCGTGGTTCCCCAGAGGTACGGTGTGAGCTCCCCAACTCACCGGGAGACAGGCGCTGCCACATCACTGCCTCTGGGAGCCCGTGACCTCATGCTCAGAGCTCTCAGAAGCTCACGTGGCCTGTGAGGCCCCTGCCAGGGCTGTTGATGCAAGAGCTGGGGCTCGGGAGCCTCCCAAGGGCAGCTCTGTGTATTCAGAGCAGCTCAGCCCCTCGAGAGCACCAGGAGCCCCCAGCCCCCATGCAACCACCGGCCGGGGTTGCGTCAAGGCCTCCCGGAGCAGCTGTCAATGGTTTCTGAGCTGCGGTGGAAAAGGCTGACAAGTTTCATTTCCCTGACCTTGGACAGCCCTCCTGATGCAGGGAGCGCCCATCCCTGGGGAGCACTGCCTCTCCAGGAGCCTGAACTTCCTTCTTTTTGGTTCAGGAGGTTTGAGGCACTTATTTCCTCCCTGTCCTGACAGTTTTACTAGAAAGGTCAGCTTTTTAAAGAGCTGTCAGTCCTTCGGAAGACAGTCAATAACAGCATGGTTTAAGACGGCCCACCAGATGCACTGGCTCCGCCCCCATCTCTTTAGAATCCAGCTCCCTTGGGGGACATACCTGGCTGGTGACTTCTAGAATCCCAGCTCAGGGCCGGGGGGGTGCCAGGGCTGTGAACCCCCGACAAGAGGCAATGAAACCCCCTCCTCCTAGAGGCTGCCCAACCATCAAGGACAAAGGAAGAGGGAGTCCATGAAGAAGGGCTGGCCAGAGAATATTTTGTTTTGTTTTGTTTTGTTTATTTTTTTATTGAGACGAAGTCTCACTCTTGTCCCCCAGGCTGGAGTGCAATGGCGTGATCACAGCTCACTGCAACCTCTGCCTCCTGGGTTCAAGCAATTCTCCTGTCTCAGCCTCCCAAGTAGCTGGGATTACAGGTGTCTGCCACCACGCCCGGCTAATTTTTGTATTTTTAATAGAGACAGGGTTTCACCATGTTGGCCAGGCTTGTCTTGAACTCCTGACCTCAGGTGATCCACCAGCCTCGGCATCCCAAAGTGCTGGGATTACAGGCGTGAGCCATTGCGCCCGGCCGAGAATGTTTTTTCAAAAAAGCAGGTCGCCAATCTGTGTAGACTCGTGCTGGCCAAGGCAGTGACCCCAAGCCACATGTGGCATCACACTTGAGACGTGGTCTAGGTGTAAAGTACACGCGAAATTCCCAGGACTTGGTAAACAGAGAGAATGTAAAACACTTCCCATCGGCGGCCGTGTATACTGATCCCACATTGGAATGATACTATTTTGAACAAGCTGGGTAATTTACAAAAATTTTCACCTTTTTGTTTGTTTTCTTTTTGTTTTTTGACTTGTAAAAATGTAGCTATGGCCGGGCACCGTGGCTCATAGCCTGTAATCCCAGCACATTGGGAGGCCAAGGCAGGCGGATCACCTGAGGTCAGGAGTTCAAGACCAGCCTGGCCAACATGGTGAAACCCCATCTCTACTAAAAATACAAAAATTAGCTGAGTGTGGTGAGGCACTCCTGTAATTCCAGCTACTCCGGAGGCTGAGGTAGGAGAATTGCTTGAACCCAGGAGGCGGAGGTTGCAGTGAGCTGAGATCGCACCACGGCACTCCAGTTTGGGTGACAAACTGAGACTCCGTTTCAAAAAAAAAAAATTGTACCTATAAGACCCACACAAATATGCCCAACTGATATTGGACAAAAGAGCAAAGCGTCTCAATGAAGGAAGAGCAGCCTCTTCAACAAACGACGCGGGAGTCATTGCACATCCATAGGCAATAAATAAATAAATAAACCTCGACCCCGTAAAACTTTTAGGAAAATAACAGGAGAAAACCTTCAGGATCGGCCGGGCGCGGTGGCTCACGCCTGTAATCCCAGCACTTTGGGAGGCTGAGGTGGGCAGATCACGAGGTCAGGAGATCAAGATCATCCTGGCTAACACAGTGAAACCCCGTCTCTACTAAAAATACAAAAAATTAGCCGGGCGTGGTGGTGGGCGCCTGTAGTCCCAGCTACTCGGGAGGCTGAGGCAGGAGAATGGCGTGAATCTGGGAGGCGGAGTTTGCAGTGAGCCGAGATCGCGCCCCTGCACTCCAACCTGGGCGACAGAGCGAAACTCTGTCTCAAAAACAAAAAAAAAGAAAAAAACTTTCAGGATCTAGGACTAGGTCAGGAGTTCTTGAGCTTGACATGAAAAGTATGATTCATAAAAGGCACAACTCATAACCTGGACTTCATCAACATTAAAGTCTTTTGCTTTGTGCAAGATCCTGTTAAGAGGATGAAAAAAAGAACTACAGACTGGGAGAAATATTTGCAATCCTCATATCTAGCAAAGGACTAGTTTCTAGAGTGTATAATCAACTCTCAAAACTCAGTAGTCAACAAACAAAAAATGGATTAGACGATGTCTCTTTGTCTCTTTGGGTATCTGTCTTCATTGCAGTGAATCGTTTGTATACATTGTTTTATTACAGTCACAAAAGAAATCATGTATTAACAGGAATAAAAAAGCAGGTTGTTACCTGTCACTAGAACAATATTATCGCTTCTGGTTGCCACAATAAATCATATTATGACTTTTTCCAAAATCCTCCAACCAAAGGTTGTCCCCATAAGCCTTTCGATATATATTATTAAGATATAAGAAGATGCTTAAGAGACAAAGAGATCTTCCGCCAAAGAATCAGATACCTGGATGGCAAATAAACACACAAAACGATATTCGACATCACGAGCCATTAGGGAAATGCTGATTAAAACCACAATGAGATGTCACTACACACCCATCAGGATGCTTAAAAAAAATAATAGTGACAACCTCAAATACTGATGAGGATGTGGAGAAACAAGGCACTCGTAAATTTCTGGTGGGAGTGTAAAACGGCCCAGCCACTCTATGCAACAGTTTAGCAATTGCTTTAAAAACTAAGCACATAGGCCGGGAACGGTGGCTCACGCTTGCAATCCCAGCACTTTGGGAGGCCGAGGCGGGAGGATTGCTTGAGCCCAGGAGTTCGAGACCAGCCTGAGCAACATGGCAAAAACCCTGTCTCTATTTTTACTAGATAAAAAACGTATTTTAAAAAACTAATCACACAATCAATCCACATATGACTCGGCAAGTGCATTTGTGGGAATTTATCCTAGAGAAACGAAAACTTAGGTTCCAACAAAACCCCACACATGAATGTTCCTAGTAGCTTTATTCACAGTCGCCCCTGAATGGGAAGCCATGGTTCATGTCCATCAGTCCGTGAGCGCGTGGACCGTGGGGTGCTGCTACTCAGCAGTAGAAAGGAACAAGTTCTTGACACACAGGACAGCTTGGATAGAGCTTCACAGGATGATGCTGAACCAAAAAAAGTCCATCTCAAAGCTGACATCATGCAGGGTTCCAGTTACGTAAAATTCTTACAGAGGAGTGGTTGCCCTGTGCCAGGGCAGCGTGGAGGAACCCTGCGGTGGGGGAGTGGTTCTGCGTCTAGCTAGTGGTAGTAGTTGCCGGAAGCTACATGTATCCCAGTGGCACAGGATTCTAAACACACAAGCACAGATGGGTGCCTGTAATACCCGTGAGACCTGTGGACTGTACCAACCTCAATTTCCTGGTTTGGAGAGTGTACTATGCTTCTATGCAGGATGTCACCATGGGGGGAAGTGGGTGAAGGGTGTATAGGGCCTCCCGGTACTTTTTTTTTTTTTGCAACTTCCTGTAGTTACTTCGAAATAAAAACTTTTAAACGTGGCTAATGGAAAATTTTAAATCACAGAGGTGGCTCACGTTACATTTCTATTGGGCACTGTTAGCCTAAACCGGGGGATCCACAAACCATGGCCCGAGGGCCAAATTGAGGCTGCCCTCTGCCTCTGTACAGCCCATGAACGAAGACTTTTTTAAATGAATAGACTTTCTTTTTTAGAGCGATTTTAGGTTCACAGAAAAACTGAGCAGAGTACAGCGAGTTTCCCCTCAATGTACACACTTTCCCATACCATTAATGTCTTGCATTTGCGTGGTACATTTGCTGTAACTGATGAGCCAATATTGATACATTATCAGTAATAACTGACGTTCAGGGCTTCTACTAGGTTCACTCTTGGTGTTGTACAGTCTATGGGGTTTCAGAGACACAGTGGCAGGCGTCCATCATTGCAGCCTCACACAGAATAGTGTCACTGCAGCCGGGCGCGGTGGCTCACGCCTGTAATCCCAGCACTGTGGGAGGCCAAGGAGGGTGCATCACCTGAGGTCAGGAGTTCAAGATCAGCCTGGCCAACGTGGTGAAACCCCGTCTCTACTGAAAATACAAAAATTAGCTGGGTGTGGTGGCGGGAGCCTGGAATCCCAGCTACTCAAGAGGCTGAGGCAGGAAAATCGCTTGAACCCAGGAGGTGGAGGTTGCAGTGAGCTAAGATTGTGCCATTGCACTTCAGCTTGGGCACAAAGAGCAAAACTCTGTCTCAAAAAAAAAAAAAAAAAAAAAAGACAAGAAAAGAAAAGGAAAAAGAATAGTGTCGCTGCCTTTGGAATCCAGTATCTGCCCATTTATCTTTTTCTCCTCTTGAGCCCCCAGCAGGTGTTGATCTGTTTACTGTCTTCACAATTTTGCCTTTTCCAGAATGTCCTAGAGCTGGAATCATGCAGCTTGCAGCCTTTTCAGACTGGTGTTTTTTGTTTTTTTTGAGATAGGGTCTCACTCTGTGACCCAGGTTGGAGGGCAGTGGTGCAATCTAAGCTCACTGCAACCTCCGCATTCTGGGCTCAAGCAATCCTCCTGCCTCAGCCCCCCAAGTAGCTGGGACTACATGTGTGAGCCACCATGCCCGGCTAATTTTTGTATTATTATTATAATTTTTTTTTTTTTTTTTTGTAGAGACAAGGTTTCACCATGTTGCCCAGGCTGGTCTCCTGAGCTCAAGTGATCACCCACCTCGGCCTCCCAAAGCGCTGGGATTACAGGTGTGAGCCACCGCACCCGGCCCAGATTGGCTTCTTCCACGTAGCAATGTACATTTCAGCATCCTCCACATCTGCTCAAGGCTTGACAGCTCATTTCCTTTTATCCATAAACAATATTCCCTTGCAGGGAAGCGCCACCGTTCGCACATCCACCCACCACCACAGGGTATCCTGACTGCTTCCACCGCGCCCGTATGAATGAAGTGGTTACAAACACCTGCGTGCAGGTTTCATGTGAAGGATGGTTTTGAACATTTTTAAATGTTGAAAAAAATCCAGAGGAGAATATTTCACAACACATGAAAATTATATGAAATTCCACTTTCAGTATCCTTAATAAAACGTGAATGGGGCTGGGCGCGGTGGCTCACGCCTGTAACCCCAGCACTCTGGGAGGCCGAGGCGGGGGGATTACCTGAGGTCAGGAATTTGAGACCAGCCCGGCCAACACGGCGAAACCCCATCTCTAGTAAAAATACAAAAATTAGCCGTGTGTGGTGGTGGGCACCTGTAGTCCCAGCTACTCGGGAGGCTGAGGCAGGAGAATTGCTTTAACTCAGGAGGTGGAGGTTGCAGTGAGCCAAGATCACACCACTGCACTCCAGCCTGGGCGAGAGAGTGAGACACTGTCTCAAAAAAAAAAAAAATTAATGGAACACAGCCATGCCAATTAACATACATTGTGTGGTGGCTTCCATGCTACAAGGGCAGAATTGAAAAGCTGCAGCCAAAACCATCTGGCCCCCAAAGCAGAAAATACTTGCTGTCTGGCCCACCTGCCAACCCCTGGAATAGACAATTACAATTCCCAACTTTGAAAGTCCAGGAAGAAAACCAACCAAAATGATAACGGCAACACCAGAGGGATCAAAGATCACAAATATTTCCCTTCTGCCTTTCCCCCAAATTTCTTTTTTTTTTTTTTTTTTTTTTTTTTTGAGATGGAGTCTCACTCTGTTGCCCAGGCTGGAGTGCAGTGGCGTGATCTCGGCTCACTGCAACCTCCGCTTCCTGGGTTCAAGTGATTCTCCTGCCTCAGCCTCCCGAGTAGCTGGAATTACAGGCATCCACCACCACGCCTGGCTAATTTTAGTACTTTTTAGTAGAGACGGGGTTTCACTATGTTGGCCAGGCTGGTCTCGAACTCCTGACCTCAGGTGATCCGCCCGCCTTGGGCTCTCAAAGTGCTGGGATTACAGACCTGAGCCACCAGGCCTGGCCACCCTCGAATTTCTAAAATGAACACAATCTCTTTTGTCTCTTTGGAAGCCCATTTCTATAGTGTCTTTGCCGGGGCCCCAGCAACCTGTCTGGGACTCCTGACCAGACTCACTCGCTCAGCTCTAGGGGTCGACGAGGCTGGGCCATGAGGAGCAACTGACATGACAGAAACAAGGAGTTTCTCAGGGCCCTGATTGTGTTTGGTTTTTTGCTTTTTGTTTTTAACCAGAGTCACTGCTCAGCCATCACTTGTGCTGAAGGCTTGAGCTCTGCGTCACCCTTTCCTAAAACGGGGTGATGACCACACTGATGTCGGGAGCTGTTTCTGGGATTCAGGTTGGCACCCATAGAGCATATGCCGCGGTGAACAGTGCTCCCCCAAGATTCATGTCCACACAGAAGCTCCCAATGTGACCTTATTCAGAAATAGGGTCTCAGCAGATGTCACCAAGCTAAGATGAGGTCACCCTAGATTTGAGTAGGCCCTATCTAATGACTGGCATCCGTATGAGAAGAAGAGAGGGCACACAAAGGGACACACCCTGTCCATGTGGCAACAGAGGCAGGGGTCGGAATGATGTGGCCACAAGCCAAGGAATGCCTGCAGCCACTCAAACCGGAAGAGACCAGGAAGGACCCTCCCCTAGACCTTCCAGAGGGAGCGTGGCTCTGCAGACACCTTGATTTTGGACCTCTGGCTCCAGGACTGTGAGAGAATACATTTCTCTTGTTTCAAGCACCCGGTTTGTGGTCCTTTGTCACAGCAGCCCCAGGACACTGATACGAGCACGTCCAACGGGGCTGGCAACTCAGTCAGGTACACAGTGATGATGACTGTCTATCTGCCCTGTACTGAGCCCTCTGTGCAGAGCTTTACACGCACGGCCTTCCTGAACCCCCACAATGCCCCCACTTCACAGAGGAGTAAACTGAGGTACAGAGTGGTTCAACACCGTCCAAGGCCACCCCCTGCGGGTCTTGAGTGGAGCTTGGATTCACAGCTGGGTCTCTGACCAAAGCTCACTTACAGGCCTCACCCAACCAAGCCCGCCAGCCCCTTCTCTGCCTAGACATCATGTGTGAGCCAAACAGCCATGCCACAGTTGCACACCAGAGGGCTGGGCACGGTGGCATCCCAGTCGAATTCTTTGGCAGCCCCTCCAAGCTCCCAGAGCTGAGGGGCAGCCAGGGAGGGGACCAGTGCTCGGCTGGGCGCCTGCTTGGCTTCTCCGCCTGACAGTGAGACTGCTGGGGCGAGGCTATGTCCTGTGGCCATTTCTAGACTGACTATGGCCACATGCCAGTTCATGGGGCTCTGACCAGCCAGCTGCCCTTCCCGTAACAGCTTCCCTCAGACCCCTGGCATCGGCCACTCTCTGGGTGCAGGCGGAGCAGCTGGTGGTGGCCACCTTGGCTTGGGCAGGGGGGAGTCTGGGGGAGGGAGGAACGCCACACAGAGCCTGCCAAGTGCTACAGAAACAAGACGAGATTAGTCTGAACGACACACAGAACAGATTGCAGGGTGTCGGGCAATGGGATGTTTTAAAGAAATAAATCTCAGCTCCCGGTTACAGAAGCACAAACAAACCCAAACAACAGACCTTCAGGAGCTGCTGGCTTCCCGGCTGCCAGGCTGCGCTGGGCCCGGAGGGGTGGGCGGGGGTTCCTGGAGCATCCTCAGGGGGCGGCGGGCGCTCTCGGGGTATCCCCGGGCGCCCTGGTTGGCCCACGACCGGGATCAGGGGTTTGATCCTGAAATTTGGGAGGAATGGAGGATGCAGCCCTCCCAGCTCCTGGCCATCCCACCTCCGAGGTCTCTCTGGGACCCAGTTGTCCCTCCCCTGGGTGGCGGCAGCTCCTGGATATCTGTGCTGCACCTGCCCCTGGTCCCTGCTGCTGCTGGAGTGGCCCCTAAGACACGCACGGCCCACCCTCCCCACTCACCCCTTGCCCCCTTCCCTGCTGTCTCTTGCCCTGGACCCTCTCACATGCCCTTCCCTCCACCCCCCGCCTCCTGCTCCCTTCCTCATCCCCTGCTTTGTGTCCCCGTCTCCTGCTCCAGGCTCTGATTTGCTGGGCAGCTGCTGCGCCCCGGAACAAAGACGGGAAGGGCAAAGTGTGTCCTGATTCGTGTGCCACCGCTCACTTCTTCGCCCACCTCCAGGAGTTTCTAATCCTCCTCGGGCTTGCCTGGAGGGTTGGGCAGAAAAGGAACGGCAGGAAACGCAGAAGGGATCCGGAACGAGCAGAGCTTTGTGAGTCCAGGGCGACACCCCCAGGGCCTTCCGTGGGAGCTCCTGCAAGGATGCTTCCCAGCACTGGGTCCTGGCCCACCAAGCGCACTGGCTCTAGCTCATTCTCAGAGACTGGACTCTTCCCCGAGAGCCTCATTTCTGTCCTCTGTGCCGTGTAGGAGGACAGGGGCCATTACACCAACGATGAACGATAACGCCGTTAATAATTCAGCCGCTGCCGCTGATACTCGGTCGACAAGGAGCCTTTTCCTCCTAAAGGCAGAAAGCACTTAGATGCCGTTTATTACTGCCTCGCACGCCCTGCGGGGTGGGCTGGCACCTGCCAGGGAAGCCATGTGAGGTGGGGAGCGGCCGCCCCATGGGGTCTGCTGTCCAAGCACTGGCCAGCTCCAGGTGAACCCTTGTGCCATCGCCCCCATGACAGGGGCCACCCTGAGGGAGTAGAGGGGCCTTGTCTTATCATCTCGTCTTTCCCCCATTACTTTGGACAGAGAGTTTTTCGGGCCTGTCCTGCTGGGAGGGTCGCTACGTTTCTAGGGTCCACCTTCCATCCTCCCAGGAACATTCCGTCCAGACCTGTGCTGTCAGGCATGGAGGCCTCCCGCTGTGACCACCAAACTTCACATTCATTGAAGATAAAGAAAGACCAAAGTCCAGTTGCTTGGCCACATCTGCTGCATTTCTAGGGCGTGGTGGCCACACACAGTGGGGCACAGGCACAGGACCGCGTGCACTGCAGGACGCTCTGCTGACGGCGCTGGCCCAGGCACTGGGAGGACCCTGTGAGGAAGCACCCGGGAACGGTGGCGCACGTAGGGAACACCACGCGGCCTTGATAGGAGCTCTCCAGAGAGAAAGCTCAGGTCCCAGCAGGGGTCACGGAGAAGAAAGTCTCTTCCACCTGCAGGTGGGCTGGGGATTCAGCAGGAGAGAGGAGAACATTCCAGCTGCGGGCAGCAAGGTGGGAAGCGGCTATGCTTGGGGTGAAGTGCCCAGTGTGTGTGCAGGAAAGGGCAAGAGGAAAGTGGGAGGGCAGGGGGTCCCGGCAGCACCCCCAGGTGGGCAGCACATTGCTCCTGGCCCTTGCCCACCTGTGGCCGCGCCAACCCGCTTGGACTGAGTCTGACCTGGCAGGAACTGCATGACAGAAACCACAGTAACAAGTGGCCAAACTCTGAGGCCAGGCCACCCAGCCCATCCCAACACCCAAACACCATCTTGCCTAGGCTGGCCACCCCGGGAACGCATGCCGGGAATGACAAGAGGACCCAGGGAGAGAGAGAACGAAACACTCACTTCCCCAGGGGGAGGCCCCGCTGGCGGCACGGGACCCAAGGTGGCAGGCCGGCGGCACTGGTGTCACTGGAAGGACCTCAGTGACCAGCTCGCCCTGGAGGCCTCTTCACTAGTTAGCAGCGTGCAGCGCAGTGGGAGATGCTTAGCGTCCCCAAATGTGCAGGTTCTCCCCTTCTGTCTATTTTTATACATTGGTTTTCATTCTAAGCTTAATATAATCACAGAATAACATTTTTGAAAACAGAAAAGTAAAAAAAAAAAAAAAGTGCTCATAATCACACTAGGCTAACACGTGGGCACACCTTCCTCTCAACCTCTGCCATCCACTGCCGTGGCCACTGACCACAGGCGCTATCCACATTTATATTCATCAGGGCCGGGCACGCGGCTCATGCCTGTAATCCCAGCACTTTGGGAGGTCCAGGCAGGAGGGTCACTTGAGCCTAGGAGTTTGAGACCAGCCTAGGCAACAGAGCAAGAGTCTGTCTCTAAAAAATAAAATAAATGAACGGGGCATGGTGGTGCATGTCTGCAATCCCAGCTACTTGAGAGGCTGAGGTGGGAGGATCGCTCGAGCCCGGGAGGTGGAGGCTGCAGTGAGCTGTGATTGTGCTGCCGCCACCGTATGCCGGCCTGAGCAATACGGTGAGACTCTGTCTCTAAAAACGAAACTTAAAAACATTTTAAAATTAAAAACAATTTTATTAATCCGTATTATGTAAAATTAAAAATTCAGTTGCACTTGCGCCATTTCAAGGGTTCAAGAGCTGCATGAAGCCAGTGGCCGCAGTGCGGGACGGCGCAGACCTGGGTTCTGTCTGCCCTGGCAGAAGCTCTGCTGGGCAGCCCTGCCCTGAGAGCCTCATCTGCACCTCAGGCCTCTTCACAGAGTTTAACTGCAACGGGCAGAATCATAACCCGTTTCCTGCTTTGCGTCTGATTCACTCTAAATTTCCACACTGCAACACTGCATGGACCATTTGACAGTCCTTGTCAATACCACATCTTCTCCTATCTGGCAGCACCGAGCTTCTGAACGTTTTACAGGTCACAGACCTTCTGGGAAGTCAGATGGTGCCTCCTCCTCATATAAAAAAAAGTGGGGTAAGATCTCAGGGGTTCGTGAGCCCAGGTTTGAAAACTCCCTGATCCAACAGAGGGACCTTAGAGGGACCTTAGTCGGTCCACCTCCTCTGCCGTTGGATTCTTATGTTCTGCTCCTTTTTCCCCACTGTAAGGAATACCACGATGAACATCTTCATGCAGAAGCGTTTGTCTTTCTACTTTTATTTTCTTTTGAGACAAGGTCTAGCTCTGTCACCCAGGCTGGAGTGCAGGGGCACCATCTCGGCTCACTGCAACCTCTGCCTCCCAAGTTCAAGCGATTCTCGTGCCTGAGCTTCCCAAGTAGCTGGGATTACAGGCATGTGCCACCATGCTGAACTAATTTTTGTATTTTTAGTTGAGATGGGGTTTTACGGTGTTGACCACGCTGGCCTCCAACTGCCAACCTCAAGTGATCTGCCCACCTTAGCCTCCCAAAGCGCTGGAATTACAGGCTTAAGCCACGTGCCGGCCACTTTGGCCTTTCTATCTGTAATTTGGATTCTTTCTTAGGATGAGGTCCAGAGGAGACATTTTCACTTAGGGAGCAGAATCTGGTGTTTTTGTTGTTCTTGTTTTTGTTGTTGTTGTTTTTGTTTTTGACAAGGTCTCACTCTGTCACCCAGGCTTGAGTGCACTGGTGCGATCATGGCTCACTGCAGCCTCCACCTCCCAGGCTCAAGCAGTCCTCCTGCCTCAGCCTCCGGAGTAGCAGCTTGGATTAAAGGTGTGCACCACCACACCCAGCTAATTTTTTTTTCTTTTTGGTAGAGACGGGGTCTCGCTATGTTGCCCAGGCTTGTTTCAGTTCTTTATCCAGGTCACCAATGCACATCCCCGGGGCAGGGTCAGTGGACACGGTACCAGCCCCATGGCGCCCCGTTATTCCACACCCTCGCCCAACTGGCCTTTTAGGCTGGACGGTAGCTTCCAGCACAGAAACCAAGGGCAGGATGACCAGTCGCGCTTGGTGGTCACCCTCCCCAGCACACCCGAGAGCCTTGCTTTCTGACACTGAGGAGGGCACAGGACCAAGATAGCCCAGGGCTCACCCCCGGCTCGGGGAAGCTCAGGGTCTTGGGGTCTCAGGGCGGGGAGGCAGGACGACGCATTGGCGACAGCAGCTCTCCGTATCACCCCATCCCCCAAGTCAGCCTCGAATACTCACTTGGTCAAGGATTTCCAGGCCGTCGCTGGACTGGGGCCTGGGGCCTGGGGCTTCCAAAGGAGACCTCTGGGTTTAGTAGGTGGGCTCACCTTCCAGCATGCAGACCCCACCTGGCCATACTCTACAGGTAGCACACGAATGTGGGCAGCCCGGGGGATACTGCCATTTCTAACCCCTAAGCTCTTCTGTGAACTACTTGCCAAATAACCATATACCTGGGGGACCCTAGGCCCCCGGGGTGGGGTGGGGGAGTTGTCCCTCCTGGCCAATCTCAGCCAGACACGCAGCCTGCACATGCAGTTCTTCAGATCCACCACTAGAGGGGACCCTCGAGCCAGCCTACCTGCTCTGCCCTCCGGGGGGACTCAACTCCGGGTTAATTATTAATAGACGCCCCACCGCTCAGAGTGGCGATGGGTGCACCCGAGTCCTCACCAACACCCCTGCCTGGCGGGATGGCCAGTCATCTGGGGTCCTCGGCCCTGACACCCCTCCCCACCCCAGAGCACCAGGAGCGCTCTCGCTCTCTCTCGCTCTCTCGCTCTCTTTCTCTCTTTCTTTCTCTCTCTCTCTCTCTCTCTCAGCCCCTTCACAGCAGGGGTTCTCAACGCTACGTGCACTTCAGAAACCCCCAGGAAGTTCAAAACATTCCCATGCCTGGGCGCCACCCCAGCGATCCTAGTTTAATTGGTCTGGGTGCAGCCTGGGCATCAGGATTTTTAAAGCTGCCCAGGGCATTCTCATGGGCAGCCGGGCTGGGGACGCCTGCTCTACAGCGTCTAGGACAATTAACCACCTTAGCCAAGGATCTCCAGTCCCATCATACGAAGGCCCCGGGGGATGGGGATGGGGCAAGGAGCACCACCTCTGCTTCCTGGGTCTACCATGTGGTGGGGGCCAGAAGCGCACAGGAGCAAGGAAAGACCAGGGAAATGCAGATTCCAGGGCTCGCCCAGCCCCTTTCAGAATCCATGTCTGCTTTTCTTTTTCTTTCTTTCTTTTTTTTTTTCCAGACAGAGTATCTCTCTGTCACCCAGGCTGGAGTGCAGTGGCATGATCACAGCTCACTGCAGCCTTCACCTCCCAGGCTTAAGCCATCCTCCTGCCTCAGCCTCCTGAGTAGCTGGGACCATAGGCATGCACCACTATGCCCAGCTAATTTTTATGTATTTTTTATAGAGATGAGGTTTTGCCATTTTCCCCAGGCTGGTCTTGAACTCCTAGGCTCAAGCAATCCACCCACCTTGGCCTCCCAAAGTGCTGGGATTACAGGCGTGAGTCACAGTGCCCGGCCTCCATATCTACTTTTTAAAAATAAAAAGAAAGCTCTCAGCAGTCTGTCTTGGAGACAGGCTGTTTTCACTCCAGCCTTGCACTGAAGCACACGCTTCTGGCGGGGTGGGGAGAGTCCCATCCACATCCACCTCGTCCCAGCACAAAGCTGCAACTCGCCACGTTCAGCGAGCCTCCCCTGGACCGGGCTGACACAGGCCTGAGGTGCGAGCCACACCGAGCCCGCGGCCATGTGGCCAAGAGGCATTTTCTGAGCCTTCATCAGGAGCAGGGCCGGGCTGTGGTAAGCACCCCCCAGCACGGTCTCCGGGTGGGGACGAGTCCCAGGCCAGGCTCGCTGACCCCATACCCCAGGCTGGTGCTCAACCCTCACGCCGACTCTGCCCTACAAGGGGGTTCTTGGCCGCACTTCACACCCGTGAGGCATCTGCGTTTTGGATGTGGGAGGTAATGGCCACAAGATCACACATAACTCAGGATGATGCCAGGACTGGAAACAGATCTGTCGGACCCCAAAATTTACTCCTTCACCACCATCTGCCTCCCAGCAGCTGGGGACGGACAGGCGGACAGGGTGTCTCAGTGGGGACTCGAGTGTCAGAGCAGAGAAGGGGGCCATGGGGAGGGCCCTCCTCAGCCCAGGGTTCGGGGGAATAGAGAAGCCTCCCCCAAAAGCTGACATGAAGGTGCCTCGCCCCAGGAGCTGAGTCTCAAACATATAAGCTGGCCGGTTAGGAGAGAGGGGAAGGAGGAAGCCTAGGTAGAGGGGATCCCTAGCCAAAGGCATGAGGCAGAGAGAGCCCCACAAGATCTAGAGGCAGAGAGGACGACGAACTTGGAGGTGTGCACAGTGGGGGGTGGGGAGGCAGGCAGCATCGCTCAGCAGGGCCAGATGGTGATGGGCCTTGGACCCCGAGTGAAGGAGATGGTGCTTCATCCTGAAAATGATGGGCGGCCCCCGGTGGGTCCCAGGCAGAGGGACAGCCTGGCTTCCAGAGTGAGTGCACAGCACGCCTGTCCGCTGCCCACTGATGCCAATACATCCCCACCCTCAGTTGTGATAAAAAAAAAAAAAAAGTGTCTCCTGGCATTGCCATACACCCCCTGGGCACAGACTCGGCCCCGGGTGAGAATCACTGCTCTAGAAGAACCTGGAGGGACCTGGGCATCAGCGTCTAAAGGCTCCCCCAGGAACCCCCACATGCAGCCAGGTTGAAGAACCAGCAAGGCGAAGGGCGGGGAAAAGCGAACCGGGGTGCATTCTCACAATACCCCCAGAAAGTGGATATTACCAGCCTCATCTTACAAACAGGGAAACCGAGGCTCCAAGAAAAGAAAGAATTTCCCAGGTTCACACTAACCAGTGATGCCAGGACTCAACCGGCACTCAACTCCCTAACTCCTAAACTTGAGCTCCCTACGAGATGGGGCTGCGGGACAGAGAGCTGACCGGCCAGCTTCTGGTTGTGGTTCTGCCACAGAATCCTCAGCCCCAAGACCGTGGGCCAACCCCACCACCTCTCTGAGACACAACTGGGACCTTCCCCTCGCCTGGGCCCTGGGGATGCAGGGACACGGGGACGCCTGCAGGTTCTGCTGCACTGTTGGCCTGGCACCACCAGGGGGAGCTCCGACTGAGTCCGGCCTGCGGGACCCAGGCCAGGACCAGAGTTCGGGCCCCGCCTCCCCCACACCTCCTCGGGTTCCCTGGCGCCTGACGCCACCCAGCTCAGCAAGCCTCCTGGCACCTGGAGTCCTCAGTTACGGCTCACGGCTTCCTTTTATCTGCACTCTCCAATAACTGAGATGAATGTTATCGGTTCACCCTGGGGCTCTAATGGACTGCATCTTTACTGGAGGGATAAAATCAGGGAAGAACCCGTCCCACAGTCACCCCTGCTGAGGCCAGCAAAGCCTGTGTCCTTACTTCATGCCCCACCACTCCCCGGCTTAATCGGCCTGGGGTGACCTTTTATGCTGCAGCCCTGGGGCAGACCCAGCTGGGTTCACATCCCAGCTTGGCCCGGGCACTGGCTGGGAGACCCCTGGCAAGCTGCTGACCTTCTCCGAGCCGCCCTTTCCCCTTCGATAGCAGGGGATAATAGGAGGGCCCACCTCACGGGGCGTGGGGCTGTGGAAAGCACACACGTACCATCCATAGCCCACGGTGTCCAGCGCCCAGGCGAGACCCAGACCACCCACGTCCAGCATGCGCCCGGCTCACACCACGAGCTCAACAGTTAATGACCTGCTCGCTGACTGATGTCGGCTCTTACTGTTGTCTGTGGTCACCACCATTATTTGCCCAGAAATCTAATGAGCGTAAGGACCACAGCCGGGGCATAGGAAGGGGCTGTGGAAGTCGGATGCAGGCCCCCTGTGCTGGCTCTGGGGCTCCGGGCTTATGCGACCACACGGGCACTCACCCCAAGGCCATGAGGGCCCTCGTGGCACCATGCAACCCTCCCCACTCAGGAAGGTCTCTTTGGGTTCCAAGGCCCAGGGAACCCACCGCAGGGCACGGGCCCAACTCTAGCTCCTGCAAGTGTGGCCAGCAAGGAGTCCAGATACTCTGGCTGGACTCCCCAGGGTGCATAGCGGCTGCCAAGTCGGGTGAATATGGTCAACACTGCCCCGGGACTACATCCATCCTCCACAGCTATGAGAAAGAGGGAGGCTGAAGCCTCCGGGGACCACAGGGGGCCAGGTCACGTGCCCAGTGGGCTGCAGGGCAGAGCGGGGAGCTGGAGACCAGCACATCTGGGCTTGGGCCAGCCCTGTGCGTGAGCCTAATGATGCCACCCGGGCCTCTTGGGCACTCGCTTGGGGACTGAAAATCTCCTGCCCCTCCGGTGATGGGAACAGAAGGGACCAGGACTCCCGGGGGCTTAGCCTTGGTCATGGGCCCATCAGACCTGGTAGGGCCTGTTTAGTCCTAGTGAGTCTCAAGGAGAGAGAAGAATGTGGACACCCCGACGCACCCTTCACAGTCCTCTCAGTGGGGTGTAAAGTGGGGACTCCCTGCTGAAGCCCTTGCCTCAGGGAGGGGCTCCTGCCACAGCCACGGCCACAGCCGCGGGCAGGTCGGGCAGATGCCTCCAGCGCTCACCTGGCATCACAGGTGACGCAGGTGAGTGCTTCCTGCCCAGGTCAGGCCTTGGGGGCCTCCCGAGAGCCCACGCCCAGAACCAGGAACTCACCTGCTGTCACTTTCCAGAAACACGGAGCCGCGGCTCTCGGCCAGCGCCGCGCTGATGGGCGAGAGGCAGAAGGGCGAGGAGAAGGTGTCTGAGTCTGAGTCAAAGGAGCTGTCTCTGCTCACGCCCTCGGCTGACAGTTCCAAAGAGCCATCCTCCTCCCCGGCCTCGGGCCGCGGCTCCCGCCCCTCCTCGGTGACATCCTGCGGACTGACCGTCGACAAGATCCCGGAGGGGCTGCAAGCAGGCTGCGAGGCTGGCTGGGCACCATCCACCCCCAAGCCCTGCGCCAGCTTCTCCTCATCCTCTGGCGCAGGGCTGGCGAGCATGCGGTCTGGAACACTCTGGGCCACCACCAGGATGTCCTCATCTTTGGGGGTCAGGGTAGGCCGCAGCTCCGTCGGGGAGGGCTGGTGGGAGGCTCCTGAGCTCCGGGTGCGCCGGCCCCGAGGGCGGGGTGCCTTGCGAACGGGGGAGCTCTCGGGTGTGATGTAGCGCAGGGCCTCCTCGTCCTGCCTCTGGATGCGAGAGTTGGGGACCCATGCCAGGATGAGGGTGGCTCCCAGCATCTCATCCTTCTCCATGTACAAGCACAGGTAACCTGTGAGGAGCCAGGGGGATGGCACGTTAGAGGCCAGGAGGCTGTGGATGAGGCCCTTGTGGTACCTTTGGCGAGCTGCTCGGAGAGGCCACTGCCCTTTAGTAAAGTGCCAGTCCGGCCTCAGATACAGCCTGGCCCTGAGCAAAAACACTAGAGGGAAACTGTGGAGCTTGAAATGAATTCCAGCTATGCGTGTTTTTTAAGAACACACACTTCCGGCAGATCCAGGGGGCACTGGTCCCCAAGCACCGGCCTGCCATGCGCCTTTCTTTTTGGTTTTTGGGTTTGTTTCTTTTTTCTTTGAGACAGGGTCTCGCTCTGTGTCTCAAGCTGGAGTGCAGTGGCACAATCTCAGCTTACTGCAACCCCCACCTCCTAGGCTCAAGCAATCCTCCCACCTCAGCTCCCGAGTAGCTGGGACTACAGGTGCACACCACCACACCCAGCTAATTTTTTTTTTTTTTTTTTTGGTAGAAATAAGGTTTCACTATGTTGCCCAGGCTAGTCTCAAACGCCTGAGCTCAAGCGAACCGCCCACCTCAGCCTCCCAAAGTGCTAGGATTACAGGCGATGAGCCACGAACTCAGGCTTGCCATGCACCTTTCCAAGTACACCAGGGGCTCTCCCTGTGTTCAGAGCCCTGACCCTGGCCCCAGGGCTCACCTGCCTGCAGCCTCCCTGTCTGTGTGAGCCCAGCGGCCCAGGTGCCCAGCTTCATGGCTTTACAGCACTGTTAGGAGGGATGGAGGCTGGAGACTTCATTCTGTTTCACAAAAAGAATTCATACAGCCAGGCGTGATGGCTCACGCCTGTAATCCCAGCACTTTGGGAGGCCAAGGCGGGTGGATCACGAGGTCAGGAGATCGAGACCATCGTGGCTAACATGGTGAAACCCTGTCTCTACTAAATGTACAAAAAATTAGCCGGGCGTGATGGTGGGCGCCTGTAGTCCCAGCTACTTGGGAGGCTGAGGCAGGAGAATGGCGTGAACCCAGGAGACGGAGCTTGCAGTGAGCCGAGATTGCACCACTGCACTCCAGCCTGGATGACAGAGCGAGACTCCGTCTCAAAAAAAAAAAAAAAATTCATCCAAGCTGGGTGGTATTTGGGCCTTTTCCAATCATCAGTGGCACTCATGGCATTTTTTTAATGCAGATTGTTTGAGGAAGGGGCCACCTTTGCAGATGAGCATTGATGTCACACACGGGGTTGCTGGTGACATGGGAGGAGGGATTTCTCCTGGGCCAGAGCAAGTGGGTGGGTGCTCAGTTCTGGGGGGAGGTGGCATTTCCTAACCCAGCACCACGCAGTTTCAGGATATCCTGATTCCTGGGCCTCCCCCACCCACTCTCCAGGCCTCTACAACTCAGACCCCTAGAATCTCCTAAGCACTGCTCCTGTTGCCAAAACAGGCTGGGAAATTTGGGGAATGTCAGCCAGCTGGGCATTAGGATAACATGAGCCTGAGGCTGAGAAGTGTTTCCACATCCTTTGAGATCGGCAAGAGGGTCCGAGGTGGCTACTCCCTGGTCTCTCTCTCTAGAACACCCTCAGGCCAGGCAACCTCCGGGTCGAGGGGCCGCATCGCCCAGAACCTGCACCCCTTTCTAGGGCACTCCAGGGAAGCCCCTGCCCACACAGCCGCAGCCAACCAGCCGGTGGCTATAAAGATACACTTATCAAGGCAGGGGGACAGAACACTCTCTTTAAATGTTTCATTGGCATAATTTAAACTTTTGTCTTGTTTAAAAATTTATTTATTCAGTATTCGATTGAAACATAATCTGCATAAAGTGCCCAGATCTCACTGTAATTTATAACTTTTTTTTTTTTAATAGAGATGAAATCTAACTCTGTTGCCCAGGCTGGTCTCAAACTCCTGGGTTCAAGCAATCCTCCCACCTCAGCCTCCCAAAGTGCTGGGATTATAGGTGTGAACCACCTCGCCCAGATGACAACTTTACTATTTTGCCATCTTGTCTGGGACTTCTGTCTGTACTCTTGCCCAAGCCAAGCAAATGTTAGGGTGTGCCGGGGCAGGCCACAGCCAGGCTGCAGGACACTGGGGCCCTGAAACATCCTTTTAGCAGCCAGGGAAGGGGACGGCAACAGGAAGAAATGAGAAGAGAGAGTCCAGAGACTGCCCTGCAGCCCCACCTCCACCACACACTGGCACTGTGCAGCCGAGAGTCGCTCAGCCTCTCTGAACACCAGCGTCCTTACCCACCTAAGAGGCCTGCTGGGGCCCTGGCCACTCCCATGAGGTTGTTGTGCAAATTAAATAAAGCAACAGATGAACAAAGCAATGCATTTATTTGTTGCAAGTCATTCACACGAATGACAAGGGGCCAGGCAGGCCTGAGGGATCACTAACCCATCTTTTGTCCCTCCCTTTGGAAGCAGCAGGGCTGAGGGACTCACCCAGCCTGCCATGAGCCAGACTTAACACCCCCCAGACCCTCCTTCCGGGAGGACAGCTGCTGTTAGTTACACGTTCTGGAAGAGGAACCAAATGCACTCTCACGTGCTGTGGCCCAGGGCCTTTAGAGCCCTGGCTCGGAAAATAACCTGGGCTGTGCGACCCTGGAGCCTCGCCTGCCCTGGCTCACCTGGGTGGTGCTCCCCCAGCCCCTGCAGCCCCTCCGGCGGGTGCACGCAGACATTGTTCTTGGAGTAGATGATCTCTCCATCCAGGACAGAGGGGGACCCGCTGCCGCTGCCACCGGGGGTGAGGGTCAGGAGGTCCGAGGCTTTGGAGGAGGCCCTGCGAAGGAGGCGGCCCAGAGACATTGCCGGGCAAGTGTTTCCATCCTCCGCATGCGTCGGCCCGGGCAGGGCTCGTCAAGACCTGCCTGGGGGAGGAAGAGAGAGGAGATGGTCAAGGTTGTGGACTTGCGTTCTGTCTCACAGCAGTACGTGTCGCCTCGGCACCCGGTGGGTTCTGGTTAACCACAGGAGCGTGTCCTGCTGGTGAACAGCTCTGTACAGGGTAGGCCACGTTCTCCATCTTGGCCAGGCCACCCTGTCCATCGCAGGAGGCTGAGCAGCGTCCCTCGCCTCAACCTGTGGATGCCACCAGCACCTCCCTTCCCAGTACGAAAACTAGAACATCTCCAGGCTTTGCCAAATGTGCCCTGGAGGGCAAAATCCCTCCCAAGGAGAACCACTAAGCTACAGAAACTCTGTTCCCACCTTAGCAATTTCACAAAAACCTCCACAAAAACGTTTTTTTCACAAAAAAAAACGTTTTCTTTTCTCAGTTTCCCACCTGCATCAGCACAAATGAGCCCTTCTAATTCATTAAAAAGAAATAAACAGGCAAGGCGCACTGGCTCACGCCTGTAATCCCAGTACTCTGGGAGGCTGAGGCAGACAGATCACTTGAGGTAAGGGGTTCGAGACCAGCCTGGCCAACATGGTGAAACATCATCTCTACCAAAAATACAAAAATGAGCCAGGTGCGGTGGCGGGCGCCTACAGTCCCAGCTACTCGGGAGGCTAAGGCAGGTGAATCGCTTGAACCCAAGAGGCGGAGGGTGCAGTGAGCTGAGATCACATCACTGCACTCCAGCCTGGGCAACAGAGCGAGACTCTGTCTCAAAAAAAAAGAAAGAAGGAAAATTTATAAACTAAAGGATTAGTATACAGAATATATAAAGAACTCCTATAAATTCATGGTGAAAAGGAGCAACATCTCAACAGAAAAAAATGGGTGCTCCACACAAGAGGAAAACCAAAGAACTGATAAATATGTAAAGAGATTCTCAGTTCCAAACAAAAATTCAACACCCAACAAACCAGCAAAAAGCAATTTTAAGTCAAAAAATACTGAGGATGAGGGAAAGGGGAGCTGTCACCAGTCCTGTCTCCTCCAATGCGGGAGCAACATGGCAGAATCTGGCACCACTGAGAAGGCCCAAAGCCCCCTGAAATTCCTCCCTTAGGAAATACCTGAGGGTGGTTCTTCAAACTGCAATTTGCAGCCCTATCATAGATCCTGAAATCAATTTAGTGGGTCAACACCAGCATAAGAAGAAAAAAAGAAAAAAAAAATAGAAAATGCCCTTGAACCCTGGCCATAGGTAGGCTCAGCACTGGGTCAGAGAACTTCTGCCCCGTGAGGACACATTCATGTGGGTAAGACGACCTGGGACGTATGAAATGTATATATAATGCGCTGTGACCTGAAACATGTGATGACTCTGCCTGGAGGAACCCAAGGAAACACCTAATCAAATGCTTTGCAGCCAGTTTCTACCAACAAAAATGAAACCACCAAACCTCTAGATAGCAGATGAGAACCAACTAGACTTCTATACACACATGGAGCTCACAAACACACACACCAAGCCACGCCAAGGAACGACCGTGTCAGTGAAGAGGCAGGCACAGCTGGGCACAATGACTCATGCCTGTAATCCAAGCACTTTGGGGGGCCGAGGCAGGTGGATCACCTGAGGTCAGGAGTTCGAGACCAGCCTGGCCAACATGGCAAAACCCCGTCTTGACTAAAAATAGAAAAAAAAGTTAGCCGGGTGTGGTGGCACGAGCCTATAATCCCAGCTACTCGGGAGGGTGAGGCAGGAGAATTGCTTGAACCCGGGAGGTGGAGGTTGCAGTGAGCTGGGATTGAGTCACTGCACTCCAGCCTGGGCGACAGAGTGAGACTCCGTCTCAAAAAAATAAAATAAATAAAAAAAATAAAAGACAGGCACAGAGCCACGCTGCATCCTGATCACTGATGGGGGATGTCCAGGACTCTGACCACAGCTGGGCTGCGTGCAGGCCGGCTTCACAAAAGTCTGCAGAGGTCAGGGGGCTGGGAGACGACAGCCACAGAGGGGCTTCACCTTCACCTCTTTGAAGGAAGAAAAGACTTGAAGCCAACATGATAAGAATTAGCAACTGGGAGTGAATAAACCAAATGTGGTACAGTGGAATATTATTTGGCCTTAAAAGAAAGGAAATTCTGACTGGGAGCGGTGGCTCACACCTGTAATCCCAGCACTTTGGGAGGCCGAGATGGGCGGATCACCTGAGGTCAGGAGTTCGAGATCAGCCTGGTCAACATAGCAAAACCCCGCCTCTACTAAAAATACAAAAATTAGCCAGGTGTGGTGGCATGTGCCTGTAGTCCCAGCTACATGGGAGGCTGAAGCAGGAGAATCGCTTAAATCCAGGAGGTGGAGGTTTCAGTGAGCCGAGATCACGCCACTGCACTCCAGCCTGGGTGACAGAGCGAGACTCCATCTCAAAAAAAAAAAAAAAAAAAAGAATTAGTAACTGGGAGTGGATAAACCAAATGTAGTATAATGGAATATTATTTGGCCTTGAAAAGAAAGTCTGACGCCTGCTACAGCATGGATGAACCCCGAAAACATTGCGCTAAGTGAAACAAATCAGTCACAAGAGACAAGCACTGTAGGATTCTACTCGTGTGAGGTCCCTAGAGCAGTTAGGTTCACAGAGACAGGAAGTGGAATGGTGGGTGCCAGGGGGTGAGGTGGGGGGAATAGGGAGGTCATGTTTAAGGGGGACAGAGCTTCAGCTTGGGAGGATGAAAGCGTCCTGGAGGTGGACAGTGGCGGCGGCTCTACAACATGATCGTACTCAATGCCGCTGAACCTGATACTTAAAAATGGTTAAAGTGGTAAGTTTTATGTTATATGTATTTTACCACAATAAAAAAGTTAAAAATTATCTATTAGTGGAGGGTCTCCGGGTATATGATCTTGTTCTTTGAACTTTCTGCATTTTTTACATTTCTCCAAAGATCCAGAGCTGGTTGAGGGTGGTCCCTAAATCAAGTCCCTTTCACCTCCAGCACTTGGCTAGGCTCTGGGACAGAGGGTGGGTGGGTGGGTGGAGGGGTCCCCACTGGCTCAGCAGAACTGGCTCCCAGCCTGGCAGGAGGCAGGGGGCAGATGTCAGTGGTGATGGCCACCATCCCAGGACCAGGCGGCTCAGCGCTCTCTGCCTCTCTGGGTTCCTCTCCTCTGACCCCCTCCATGCTTCAGCCTCCCCCAGCCCTGTTTGTGTATTTCCAATTGTCTCCATGGCTGCTGACTTCCCAAGCACAATATTCCAAAGATGTTCCAGCCAGCCCAGGAGTGGCCTTCCCATTCCCATGTCTTTCCTCTGACAGATCCATCACCCCCATCTCCCCATCTCAGAGATCCCGACGTCAACATCACTTGTGAAAATCACCAGTTCTGGGGGTGGGGACCCAGCTCAGATCCTCACCTCCTCAGCCTTGAGCCACAGACGCCCTCTGCCTGATCTCAACCGTCTCCAGGGCCCTCATCCACTCAGCTCTCCCTAGCCCACCCCTTTTTAGGCTCCCTCAACATGTCCAATGAAGGCTGCAGAAGAAAGTCGACCCCTTGGTGCAGGGGTCAGCAAACTTGTTCTGCAAAAGGCCAGAGAGTAAATGCTTTGGACTCTCTGGGCCGGAGAGTCTCTGTCGTGACCACTCAACTCGGCCCTTGGAGTGCAGGAGCAGCCACAGACAGTAAATGATGGGCATGACTGTGACAGTGAAGCTTTACTGACAGACACTCAAGCTTAAATTCTAGATCATTTTTCACGTGTCTCAAAAAGAATTCTTTCCATTTTTCAACCCCCTTAAAAAACGTAAAAACCGGCCAGGCGCGGTGGCTCACGCCTGTAATCTTGGTACTTTGGGAGGCCTAGGTGGGCGGATCACCTGAGGTCGGGAGCTCGACACCAGCCTGACCAACATGGAGAAATTCCATCTCTACTAAAAATACAAAATTAGCCGGGCGTGATGGTGCATGCCTGTGATCCCAGCTACTCGGGAGGCTCAAGCGGGAGAATCGCTTGAACCCAGGGGGCAGAGGTTGTGGTGAGCCTAGATCGCTCCATTGCACTCCAGCCTGGGCGACAGAGCAAGACTCCATCTCAAAAAAAAAAAAAAAAAAAAAAAGTAAAAACCATCCTTAGCTCACAGGCTGTACAAAACAGGTGGAAGGCTGGCTTTGGCCTGTGGGTTGCAGATGGCAGTGCCCTGGCATAGACCATCTGACCAAATCCAGGGGATTCTTCTCCACCTATCCAAACCAGCTCTCTGCCAACCTCTCCAGGAAGCCTTCTGGCCACTCTTGGCCTAAACACTTCATCCCACACAGGGGCATATGACAACCAAGTGACGAAACTTAATTAAAAAAATCACACTGCAAACTACAAATCAAAAAACATATTGTCCTTCCCAATAATCACATGGAAAAGCTATGTTCTGTTCTAATGTTATCCAGAATAGTTTAAGAATTCAAGAATTCTTCAAGAATTGCAAGGTCAGTTAATAAGCCCTGCAAGAAAATTGCTCGCCGTCCTCTAGACCAGCCATGTCCAACAGAAACACTGCAGGAGACATAGATACAATTTTAAATTTTCTGGTAAGCAAAAAAAAAAAAAAAAGTGAAATTAATTTTAATAATTTTTAGCATAATATATCCAAAATATTATTATTTCAGCATATAGTCAATATGAAAACATTATTTCTTTATTTTTTTTTTATTTTTTGAGACGGAGTCTCACTCTGTAGCCCAGGCTGGAGTGCAACGGTGCAATCTCGGCTCACTGCAAGCTCCGCCTCCCAGGTTCACGCCATTCTCCTGCTTCAGCCTCCCGAGTAGCTGGGACTACAGGCGCCCGCCACCATGCCCGGCTAATTTTTTTGTATTTTTAGTAGAGATGGGGTTTCACCATGTTAGCCAGGATGGTCTCGATCTCCTGACCTCGTGATCCGCCTGCCTCGGCCTCCCAAAGTGCTGGGATTACAGGCGTGAGCCACCGTGCCCAGCCTGAAAAAATTATTAATGAAATCTTTTACATTCTTTTTTTTTTTTTAGAGACAGGTTGTCACCCAGGCTAGAGTGCAGTGGTGTGATCACAGCTCACTGTATTCTGAAACTCCTGGGCTCAAGGAATCCTCCTGCCCAGTCTCCCAAATAGCCTGGACTAAAGGCACATGCCACCAGGTCCCGCTAATTTTTTTATTTTTTGTAGAGATGAGGTTTCACTTTTTTGCCCAGGCTGGTCTTGAACTTCTGGCCTCAAGTGATCCTCCTGCCTCAGCCTTCCAAAGTGTTAGGATTACAGGCGGGAGCCACCGCACCTGGCCTATTTTATGTCCTTAAAGTCTCCAAAGTCTGCTGTGCATTTTGCACTTAAGCACGTCAAAGTTCTGCTCAGCCACGTTTTGGGTGCTCTGTAGCCTGCGCGGTGTCCACACTGGACAAGGCCGCAGCGGGGCTGGAGCCCACCTCCTTCTGTGTTTCAAATGGCTCTACTCAGTGTGATCGCTCCAGTTGCCAGAGCTGGCTGCACACAGCTCTCAGCTGCTTCCCCAAATCAAAACCCTCTTTAAGTGAAAATGTTTTGCCAGCACTGAGGATAATCAAAAGAATGTGCTGGAAGCTTTAAAGGAGATTCCGAAATACAAGTGTTCAAAATACAGCATTTTCTCCCATACCATGACAGGCAGAACCTCACTGTGGCTCTGCGAGGTGCGTCCCAACAGTGCAGCTTTACGGAGGAGAAGACAGGTTCTGACCACTCAGGGTCATTTCGTGAGCGGGAAACCCTGCAGCGTGAGACCTTCGTCCCCCACGTGCAGAACTCCGGCTCCTCCATCACCCGCCACCTGGGACACCAGGACAACCCCCCCCCGCCCCTCCCAGATTGTTCTGGAGAGACTGGGCTCTTTTTGGAGAAATGGAGCATGTCTATTAAACATTAGACAGGACTGTTTGCTCTCTAAAAACAATTCTCCTTATTTGTAAAGTGCATTTGCTGTTTCGCAAGAGGCTATTTCATCGAAATCCAACCTAGTTCCCAACCTCTGGTCACCAGCAAACTAGAAGTGGAGAATCCTTGGCCCATTTTTTAAAACTTTTTTTTAGTTATGAAACACACTCAGAGAAGGAAAAGGAAGAATACGTGTCCCTTAAATCACATAATCCTAAGACATTTATGTATTCTCTACTATATTTTGTGCCCTATAATGAATGAGTTAATGAAAAACCCACTCCTTGGAATTATATCATATCTTGCTTTCAGTTGGATCATAAATATATTTTCCCAGGTGAAGTATACTTATGATATAACAAACTTTAGGGTTGAAGTACATCCCCTAAAATTCCTGTGTTGAAGTCTTAAACCCCAGTACCCAAGAATGAAACTGTTTTTGAAGACAGCATCTTTATAGAGGTGATCAAGTTACCTTGAGGTCAATATGACTGGTGTCTTTATAAAAAGAGGAAGTTGGTAGCAGGTGCCTATATACAAGGAGAGTGCTGTGTGAATACAATGATGCCACCTACCAGCAAGGAGCAGGCCTGGAGCAGCCCCTCCCTCACAGCCTCCTAAGGAAACAATCCTGCCGACACCTTGATCTTAGACTTCCTGCCTCCAGGGCTGTCAGAGAGATTTCTATTGCTCAAGCCACCTGGACCCTGGTACTTTGTTAGGGCAGCCCTAGCAAACAAATATACCACATTATTAACACATTTAAAAAGTATAAGGCCAGGTGTGGTGGCTCACGCCTGTAATCCCAGCACTTTGGAAGACTGAGGCGGGCGGATCACCTGAGATCAGGAGTTCAAGACCAGCCTGGCCAACATGGTGAAATCCTGTCTCTACTAAAAAATACAAAAATTAGCCAAGCGTAGGGGCGGGTGCCTGTAGTCCCAGCTACTCAGGAGGCTGAGGCAGGAGAACTGCTTGTACTCAGGAGGTGGAGGTTGCAGTGAGCTGAGATGGCGCCACTGCACTCCAGCCTGGGAGACAGAGCGAGACTCCATCTCAAAACAAATAAATAAATAAAAATAAAAATTATAAATGCCAACCCTCCATCTTCATAGAATCAGCCGCCATTGCTAGGCATCTGGCTTCCAACTAGTGGCTACTGAAATAATAAACTCCACATTTTAATACATAAATCTTCATCTGTATCCTCATTATTTCCAGGATTACTGTTTCCCCAGGAGGATAAACTGGACCCCAACTCGTATTGCCCAGTGGGTTCCCCGAAATGTAAGAGTGCTGCCAGGGATTTAAATCTCCACCAGGCTGGGAACTGAAAAATGGTTTTCTGACTGGGCACAGTGGTTCACACTTGTAATTCCAACAATTTGGGAGGCTGACGTGGGAGGATTGCTCAAGCCCAGGAGCTCAAAACCAGCCTGGGCAGGGCCGGGCACGGTGGCTCACGCCTGTAATCCCAGCACTTTGGGAGGCCAAGGCGGGTGGATCACCTGAGGTCGGGAGTTCGACACCAGCCTGACCAACATGGAGAAACCCCGTGTCTACTAAAAATACAAAATTAGACAGGCATGGTGGTGCATGCCTGTAATCCCAGCTACTCGGGAGGCTGAAGCATGAGAATCGCTTGAACTCAGGTGGTGGAGGTTGCAGTGAGCCGAGATCGTGCCATTGCACTCCAGCCTGGAAACAAGAGTGAAACTCCATCTCAAAAAACAAAAACAAACAAACAAACCAGCCTGGGCAACATAACAAGATCCCACTTCTAAAAAATTAGCTGGGGGTGGTGGTGTGTGCCTGTAATCCCAGCTACTCGGGAGGCTAAGGTGGATCACTTGAGCCCAGGACGTCGAGGCTGCATTGAGCCATGATTGCACCACTGCACCCCACCCTGGGTGACAGATTATCCTATATTTATTAGACATTTGTGTTCACTTGTGAATTATCTGTTGGTGTGCTTTGACAATTTTTCTGCTGGCGTGGTGGAATTCTTATTATTTTTAATACAGAGATTAAGCTGAGATGGAATTTTCATTGATATGTAAGAACTCTTTATATAGTAAAGATCACTACATACACACCATAGACACACACCATAGATACATACATCACGCACCACATACCATAGGCACACACCATAGGCACACTGCATAAACATCACAGACACACACACCACACACCACAGACACACACACTGCACACACCATAGACACATCACACACACAACCCCATAGGCACACACCACACTCTACACACACACCATAGACACACACATCCACCACAGATGCACACATACCATGACACACCCAGGCACACACACTATGACACACACACACCATGACACACAAACACACACCATGACACACACCATGACACACACAAACACATACCATGACACACATGTATTTCTCCTAATTTGTTGTTTGCCTTTTATTTATATTACCTATTTTGACATACGGAGGTTTAAAACTTTTATGTAAATTGATGGTAACTTTTTCTTAGTAACTTCCTTTATTACTTTTATACTTAATATAATCCTTTCCAAGCTAAAGATCGTTAAACATTGGTCTATATTTTCTTCTATGTTCAATGAACTACTTTTAATGTTTCAAAAGCCTAATTCAAAGCATATATTTACCTGAAAGGGACTCACATGTTAACTAAAGTATCGAGCAGTTCATTGAGTGTTTATGTTGTTTTTATTGCTAGGCCCTGTTTTTATTGCTTACTCAGTTATCTGACAAAAACACTGAAATCTATGATAAATTAATAAAGCTGGGACGTTTATTTTTATTTATTTATTTATTTAGAGACAGAGTTTCTCTCTTGTTGCCCAGGCTAGTGGAGTGCAGTGGTGCTATCTTGGCTCACTGCAACCTCTTCCTGCCAGGTTCAAGTGATTCTCCTGCCTCAGACTCCCGAGTAGCTGGGATTACAGGTGCCCACCACCACGCCTGGCTAATTTTTGTATTTTTTTAGTAGACACCAGAGTTCACCACGTTGGCCAGGCTGGTCTCGAACTCCTGCCCTCAGGTGATCCACCTGCCTTGGCCTCCAAAAGTGCTGGGATTACAGGCGTGAGCCACCACGTCCGGCCCTGTTTTTATTTTTTTGAGGTGGAGTCTCACACTGTCGCCCAGGCTGGAGTGAAATGGCACAATCTTGGCTCACTGCAACCTCCGCCTCCCAGGTTCAAGCAATTCTCCTGCCTCAGCCTCCCATGTAGCTAGGATTACAGGCACCTGCCATTACACCTGGCTAATTTTTGTATTTTTAGTAGAGACGGTTTTGCCATGTTGGCCAGGCTGGTGTCAAACTCCTGACCTCAGGTGATCCGCCCGCCTCAACCTCCCAAAGTGCTGGGATTACAGGCGTGAGCCACCATGACTGGCCGGGGACATTTATTATATAAAACTTTATGGACAATTTTAAGAGGTGCCTTGGCCGTGACCCGGAGGCCTATGTGGTTTGGCCCACCTCATGGTCCACACCCTCTCAGCTGCCGCAACGCTGCACATGTGACAAACACGTGTGTGAGATCCACGGTTCTCATACTATCACACGCTCTGGTGAGAGTAATGGCTCATCACAGGCAAGATTTACCGCGAAATGGGACAGGCGGGGTCATTTTAACTTCCTCCCCAGGCCACCCCCTCCACCCTGCTGAAAGCACCTGCAATAAAATACGTTTTCAGAAATTCACCAGATGTCCCTTCCAAAGATCAAGCCCAGCTGCTCCCCTCCCCTTTATGGGCAGGCGGCCCTCCAGGGGTATTGCGAACGGGCTCCAGCGACAGCTGCTCGGAGGCTACCATGGGACAGTACCCGGGCAGCCACAGCCCTCCATGCCCTCCTTCCGCCCCGCAGTCCCAGCATGAAGCCACAGTTCCCCATGAGCCCAGGGCAAGCTCGTCAGAGACCCTTCCCTGCGGAGGCCCACAGCCCCTGCGGCCACTTCTTCCCCGAATCTCAATCCTGCTTCGTGTGGCCACTGCTGAAAGAGACGCTCAGTGCCACTTAGAGCGCACAGCCCACTGGTCCAGGCTGTGCACACCCAGGGACCCTTCCAGGCATTCCTCACCTCGGTGCAGGCCAGGAGCGAGAACTGCTGCCGGGCCCCCCCCCACCGGCTCAGGGCGTGGCTGGGGTGGCCCTGCTCCTCGGTGGCCCGCCTGGCCCCGCTGTGGGCTTCCCTCCCACCACCCCGGCCACAGTCACAGCGGGTTGTGTCAGGCCGCCCTCATCTCCCACCTCCCAGGCCCAGCTGGCGCCTCCAGCCCTGGTGTGAATTTCCATTCAGGGTCCAAAATCCACCTTGGCAGCGCCCTCATTCTGCAGCTCCACGGAGCCCTCCAGCCAGAGAAGAGAAATCTGAGTTTAACCCGATCCTGTCAGAAGAGCGGGAGGAAAGAGCTCCGGCGGACAGGGCTCCCAGGCCCCTCCAGGACGAGGTTGGAGGACCAAGCGCAGAAGGTAAGGACGCAGCCCTCGGCGAGTGCGGGCGGGGCCCAAATCCCTCGCCGGCCGGCTAAGCAGAAGCGGCTTTTGGCTTTCCGCGACAAAGCGCAGCTCCGGGCCAGACGGTCCTGCCCGGCCCTACCCGCAGCCCCGGCCCCAACCAGAGGCCCCACTTCAGCCCACCAGGCAGGACTGCAGCGGGGCACGCCCCACGGACCCCAGCCCCTTGGAGATCCCAAACCCCATGCCTGCTGCTCCCACCCCGGAGGAGTCAGAGGCCGAGAAGCACACACACCATAGACCCCACACCACGCACACCATAGACACACATACCACACACCACACACCATACCACACACAACACACACCACAGACACACACACCATACACCATAGACACACATACCACACACACCATAGACACACACACTACACATCATAGACACACACACCACACACACCATAGACACACACACCACACACCATAGACACACACCACACGCACCATAGACAAACCACGCACACCATGCACACACCACACACCATATACACACACACCACACACGACACACCATAGGCACACACACCACACACCACACACCATAGACACACACACCACACACCATAAGCACACACACCACACACACCATAGACATACACACCATAGACACACAGACACACATGCCATAGACACACATGCCACACACGACACACCATAGTCACACCACACATACACCAGACACCAAGACACACACACTACATACACACCATAGACACACATACCTACCACACACTACAAACCATAGGCACATACACCATAGACACACGCACTACATACACACCGTAGACACACACCACAGATACATACATCACACACCACATACCATAGGCACACTGCATAAACATCACACACACACCACACACCATAGACACACACACCACACACACCATAGACACACCACACACACAACCCCGTAGGCACACACCACACTCTACACACACACCATAGACACACACACACACCACAGATGCACACATACCATGACACAACCAGGCACACACACTATGACACACACACACATACCATGACACACACACACCATATACACACAAACACCACAGACACACACACACCATAGGCACACACAAACACACCAGGACACACACACCATAGACACACACATACCATGACACACACGCACCCCATGACACACACCACACACAGCCACCCTCTGCTCTACCAGCTTTGCCTCTGTTCTCCGACAGCGCCAGTGTTGACACGCCAGAGGCTGCCTGGGCCCCACTCCTTCCCAGCTGTCTCCAGGATTAGGGAAGCCCCAGGCGGATCCGGGGCCGCAGGAGCCTCCCTACCCAGCCCCCATGCTGGTCTGTCTTGGGTCCATAAACACAAGTCAGCCACCTGTCACCGGGCGGCAGGAAGTGCAGGCTCTGTGAGCTGGAGGAGGGGGCGCCTAGGCTCTGAGGGCTGAATAAGGGGCCTGGCAAATGCCCCCGGAGAGCCCTGGAGAGTTTTGCAGCAGTCCTGGCACCTGGGCTTCGGGGCCCGCCTGCTGGGAGCAGCCGCCTGCTGGGAGCACCTCCTTGCTGGAAGCACCCCCCTGCCAGGAGCCCCCCACCCCCACCCAGGAGCACCCTCCTGCTAGAGTGCCAGGGAGACACTGCTGCCTAATGGCCAGGAGCTTGCCCAGGGCAGTGACTTCTGGTCCACTTCTGTCCCTTGGTTGTGTCCCTAAGACCCAGGGACCCTGGAAGGTTCACCTGTCGGTGTCACACGGTTCCTTCTTCACACAGCAGGAACAGAGGTACAGAGAATGGCGTCCAGGCCTCCTTAAGGACTCTCAATCCATGAGACAGGAAGCCCCACAGGGAAGCAGTGGCCCCCCGCCCCCTATCTCCTCACATACAGCACTCTGTACCTTCTGCTCATTTTTCTGTAAACCTAAAACTGCTCTAAACAATGAAGTCCGCCACGCAGAAACTGCACACGGATGTTGAGAGCAGCTTTACTCATAACTGCCAACACTCAGAAGCAACCGAGATGTTCTCCAACAGCTGAATAAATAAATAAACTGTGATACACCTAAATAATGGAGGATTATTTAATACTAAAAAGAAAGGGGCGGCCGGGCATGGTGGCTCACGCCAGTAATCCTAGCACTTAGGGAGGCCAAGGCGGGTGGATCACCTGAGGTCAAGAGTTCACGACCAGCCTGGTCAATATGGCAAAACCCCATCGCTAATTTAAAAATACAAAAATTAGCCAGGCATGGTGGCGCACGCCTGTAATCCCAGCTACTCAGGAGGCTGAGGCACGAGAATCACTTGAACCCGGGAGGCAGAGGTGGCAGTGAGCCAAGATTGTGCCACTGCACTCCAGCCTGGGTGACAGAGGGAGACTCTCTCTCCAAAACAAACAAACATCATCTTCTGGGGGAGGGGGGAATCTATTAGTTTAAAATAAAAAGAGGCTTGAGATCAGGAAGCTTGCATCCAAAGAGGTGTGGAGGAGGCGTGGACGAGGGTGGAGTTGTGTGGACCAATGCCGAGAACAGGCAGGCACTAGAGGCAGGCTGAACAGAGCAGAGTCAAAGACAACGTTTGGTTCCTGGACTGAGAACCCAGCTGCCGGCAGCCCAAGTTGTCTGATGGGAGAGTTTCCTAATGTCCTTGAATCTGCAAGATGCAAGACTTTGAATGGCCCTTGCCCACAGCAGTGTGGAGCAGTTGATGCCCATGACCTTAGGGACCTGGAGTCCTGCGGGGTTTGAGGGGGGCAAAGAAAACCATTCGTCCTGGGAGGCAAGGAAGCTGGATGTCAGGAAGGCTGCCCCAGTATGGAACTCAGAGCAAGGGGGACATCCAGGTTCCCTTCTGCGGGCCTGGGGCTCTTCCTAGGGGCCAGATGCCTTCTCATCAGTACACGAACAGAGGCGGGGGCAGCCAGCAGAACTCCTAAGACACAAAATGAGTGAACACTGGAAAGGGAGCTGAGACAGGCCTGCAGCAAAGAACAGACACCAGGCTTTTCCAATCTATAGGAAGGACTCAGAGTTCATCAAAATCAAAATAGCAATGCAAGATGCTCAAAGCACCTTGTGGCAATTATTACAAATCCCCTCCCCAAATCCTGAGAGATGAAGATGGATAGAGAAGCTGAGGAGGCTGGGCACGGTAGCTCATGTCTGCAATCCTAACAGTTTCGGGAGTCCGAGGTGGGCGGATCGCCTGAGTCCAGGAGTTTGAGACCAGCTTGGGCAACATGGTGAAACCCCGTCTCTACAAAAAAGCAAAAATTAGCTGGGCATGGTGGCATGTGCCTATAGTCCCAGATACTCAGAAGGCTGAGTCAAGAGAATCGCTTGAGCCCAGGAGTTCGAGATCAGCCTGGGGGACATGGAGAAACCTTGTCTCTACAAAAAAACTTTAAAAATTAGCCAGGCTTGGTGGCCTGTGCCTATAGTCTCAGCTACTCAGGAGGCTGAGGTGGGAGGATCGCTCGACCCTGGGAGTTGAGGCTGCAATGAGCTGTACTTGCGCCACTGCACTGCAGCCTGGGTGACAGAGCAAGACCCTGTCTCAAAAAAAAAAAGAGGCCGGGTGCAGTAGCTCATGCCTGTAATCCCAGCACTTTGGGAGGCTGAGGCGGCAGATCGCTTGAGGTCAGGAGTTTGAGACCAGCCTGGCCAACATGGCGAAACCCCGTCTCTACTAGAAATACAAAAACTAGCTGGGCATGGTGGCAGGCGCCTGTAATCCCAGCTACTTGGGAGGCTGAGGCGGGAGAATTGCTTGAACCCGGGAGGCAGAGGTTGCAGTGAGCTGAGATCGCACCACTGCACTCCAGCCTGGGCAACACGGCAAGACTCCAACTCAAAAAAAAAAAAAAAAAAAAAAGAGAAGCAGCTAAGGGTAGATCCTTGACAATAAGAACCCCCCATTCTCCTCAAATGCATCCACTTCACATTTGTATTTTGAAACGGTGATGTCCTTGTTGGTTTGTGTTTTCAATAATAAGCTCCCGAGTGCATGACACCTCCGAGACGCTCCTTTTATAATGTGCCTCCCAGAATGCCATCTTCGTTAAGGTTCCAAATGCCTTGTTTTTGTTGATGGAAAGGATAGCAATGCCAACTTGGCAGTTGGCACAAAGAATTCACAGATGGATTGAAGCCAAGATCTACAATTTGCATCAGCTTGAGTGTACAAAAAAAAGAAAAGAAAAAAAGAATAGCCGGGCGCAGTGGCTCACGCCTGTAATCCCAGCACTCTGGAAGGCCGAGGCAGTTGCATCACCTGAAGTCGGGAGTTCATGACCAGCCTGGCCAACATGGTAACACCCTGTCTATTAGAAATACAAAAATTAGCTGAGCATGGTAGCACACACCTGTAATCACAGTTGCTCGGGAGGCTGAGGCAGGAGAATCGCTTGAACCCAGGAGGCAGAGGTTACAGTGAGCCAAGATGGCACCATTGCACTCCAGCCTGGGTGACAGAGCGAGACTCTATCTCAAAAAAGAAAAAGAAAAAAAAGAATGATTTTAGAAGGCAAAAAGTAAAAGCGTCAATGCTGATTCTAAACCATCAGACCGGGGCATGATGACCAGTTGATTTTTTTTTTTTTTGAGACAGAGTCTCGCTCTGTCGCCCAGGCTGGAGTGCAGTGGCGCAATCTAAGGTCACTGCAATCTCCGCCTCCTGGGTTCAAGCAATTCTCCAGAGTAGCTGGAATTACAGGCGCGCGCCACCACACCCAGCTAACTTTTGTATTTTTTTTAGTATAGACGGGGTTTCACCATGTGGGCCAAGATGGTTTCAATCTCCTGACCTCGTGATCCGCCTACCTCGACCTCCCAAAGCGCCGGGATTACACGCGTGAGCCACCGCCCCGAGCCGACCAGTTGATTTCTGTGCTGCTCAAAGCCATTGGTGACCAGTAGGTAGGGCCAGATTTCTGCAAAATAGGCCATTGTGTAATTCGAAAGGAAAGAACAACTTGGCCATTCCTCAACAAAAATACACAGGCTCATAAAACAAAAAACTGTGCAGAAACTCCTCCACCAGAGAGTCATTCTTTCCCAGAAACCTGCAACTCTTTAAGAATTAGAGCACCATTGAGAAGCATGGAGTCGCAGCACCTGCAGCTGGCAGGGGTGTTAAACTGGTGATAAAGGTAGCTGAAGTCTGCTTCCAGGACGAGAGCGCTTTGAGGGGGCTGGAGTAGGGGGAGCTGCCTGCAAGGTGAAGACGTGGGAAACCTCAGAAGCCCTAAGGAGAGAGGGGCGGGCAGGGGAGGAGAGGGGCAGCAGATCTATTCTTTCACAATGCTGTTGGGAACTGGCCAGGCTGTTGGGTTGGAGCTGACACAGGGCGCAGCTGTGAGCCTGCTGTTAACCACACATGTTCCCTTCCCGTCCCCTAGGAGCCACTTGGCCACTGAAACTTGGCCTGGAACAGCCAAAGATTTGGTGACTCACTGTGTGAGCAGTGGGGGTGGGTCTTCTCTAGCAAATATTCACAGGGCATGAGGTTAGGACATCTACTACCCAAAATTCACTGCCCAAGATTTGGTGACTTATACCCTAGAAAAGAGAGTCCTCCTCAATGTAGAAAGTGGCAAAGTCACCAGAAAACCAGAAATGAGCAAACACAGATAAAGAAATGACACAACCGTCTCCCCTCTTGTCTCCTTTTGAAAGCCCTCATTCCACGCGTATGAGCTTCCTACGGCTGCTGTGACAAATGACACAAACTTACCAGCTACAACACAAATGCATAACCTTACAGTCCTGGAGGTCTGAAATCTGGAATGGGTCTCACAGGGCTAAAACCAGGTATCAGCAGGGCTGGTTCCTCCTGGAGGCTCTAAGGGAGAGTCTGTTTTCTTGCTTTTTCCAGCTTCTAGAGGTCACCCACACTCCTTGCTCTCGACCCCTTCCTGCATCTTCAAGGCCAGCAGTGGCCGATCGAGTCCTTCTCATACCTCATCTCTCTGACCCTGACTCTCCTGCCTGATCCTGCGATTGCATCAGGCCCACTCATATAACCCAGGATCATCCCCCATTTCAAGGTCAGCTGCTGAGCAACCTTAATTCCATCCCCAACTTGAATCCGTGGCCACGTAACATACCATATTTACAAATTCCCTGGATTAGGACATGGGCATCTTTGGGGGCCATTCTTCTGCCAACCACACCAAACCGAGGACACTGTAAGGAGCTGATTTCCAACTCGCAGGGCGGCCTCTGACCTGCTCACCCACTGACGGTGAACCCCCCACGCAGAGTGACTACTCTTTTAGCAGTAGGATGAGGACCGAGGCCTAGAACCCAGGAGAGGAGCACGCCTGGGCCCCGACGTCCCTGTGAGGGCAGCGAGAATGGACACAGGTGGGCTACAGGTTCATGACCAGGACCTGCCCGTGGAGGCTGCCTCCACCTAAGGTCTTAGTTTCCTGTCCTGGCCTAAAGGGCTTCATCAGTTCCCAAACAGGAAAACAAAAAGAACAGAGGTGCAAAAGTCTCTTCCAGAACCCTCCTGGAGGTAGCCTGGAGCCACTAGGAGAGAGGTATCACCCCAGCCTCTTCTCTTGCTCACTCTGTGCCGTGCACCGGCCTCAGGGCCACCTTGGGTTAGGGGCCAGGATGCAGCAGTCAGCAGGACAGACCTGGTCCTGGAAACCCATGGAGCTGGCAGTTCCCACTCACCAGAGGGACGCAGCCCATGCCCACTAGTGACAGGCAGGGGCAGAGGCAGAGGCAGGCAGGGTGTGGGGGCCACGGGACGCAGCCCACCACCGATTATTCCCATGGCCATGTCACTGCCAGACTGCTCAGGAGCAACACGCACTGAGCCCGGTCACCTGGCACATGGCCGGCAGAAACTGGTTCATCTGCTTTGCCCTCAAAGCCCAAGCAACAAAGAACAGGGAAACAGCGACACCTTATTAAACACGAGCCAGACACACGCAAACAAGGATCGCGTTGCCCCCGCTGCAGAACGTCTGCTGCTGGCATGCCTTGGATGAGGCCCCAGCTTCCTCCACCTGCCCAGAGCCAGGCAGGGGCCCTACCCATCTTCCTGGGAACCCCTGGCTTTGCGGGTCAAAGGGCGATATGGAATCTTGTAGGCAGCCAGGATCAGGACCCAGTCCCCGGGCAGCAGGCTTGGGGAAGGTAGCTCCTTCAGTCTCATCAGGAGGATAATCCCCTGCGGGGCCGCCGTGATTTCTCCTCGCAGCTGCGCTGAACTTCAAGTTACAGGATGAATTGAGAAAATAAAGATACTGGCTGCACACAGAAGCCACATTCAGGATACACCCGGAAAGCCTGGGGCCCAAAGATGAGCCTCTATGCAGAAGCGAGAACGGGACATCAAGTTGTATTTAAAATGAAGAAACTAGGGCTTAGGGCATTCACTGCAGTGCTGGGATCTTGGACCATAGGGAAAGAGGACCCCTGAGAGGCTATAACGGGGCAGGACCATCACCAAAACGGTGGTGAGGGAAAACCTGGTGGCCTGTGTGGCTGTGACTCTCCTTTTGCAACTGTCCAGCGGTCACCCTGATTAGCACCCACTCCCTGGAAAACCCCAAAGCCTCTGCCTCCAAGGAGAGACCATCTGCCATTTGTGCACCCTTGATAGTAGATTGTAAAATCCCATTTCCCCCGCAAAGAGCCAAGGAGGTCAGGCCTGGGAGAAGAAACTCAACTCAGAGGTGAGCCTGGATCTGGGACTAAGGAAAGACTAAACACAAAGGGTAAGGGAAGATGCAGACCCAGCCAGGAAATCAAAAACTGCCCTGAGTCTGGCTCAGGTACCTCCTACTTCTATGCTGTGCCTGTAAACATGGAGGCCTAAAGCTTCTCAGCATCTGTCAGTGAAGGAGCAGTGAATGCACCGCAAAACAAAACTGAAACTGGGGGGACATATTAACAACACCCAAAAGCAACACAACTGATCTTGCTTTGGAAAGCATTTTAGTTACAGAAAAGGCAAAAGGCTGTCAAATGACATCTGTAAAGTTCACCCTTTCCCCCACTTCCAGAAGGCTAGAGTAATGATGAACTATATTGGAGCATTGAATTCAGGCTCACTCAACATGCAAAAAGCAGTACACGACTGAAGTGTGCAAGCCAGCATGGATGCGGGCTTGGCACCCGCAGTACGTTGGCTTCATAGTGACCAATCCAGAAAGACCACGGAGAAAATACTGCCACATCTCAGCGTCTGCAGCCCATACAGGCAAGCAGACACATGTATCACCTTCCAACGCCTGCACAGACTCACCGCCCAAGGCTCAGCAACAGAAGGGCAGGCCATTCCGACTGGACAGTGGATTTGGATTATTTCTCTTTTCTTTCTGTTATTCATGTGTCAGAAGCCACCACGGGCAGAAATCGAACTTAGTCTTACAGTGGCCCGATTTCTCTCATCCTTTGAGGATGGTTATGTAAGTTCCGAAGACAGAGTAAAGAACGTATTTCAAATCAGATGCCACCAGACAGCTCATAAAAGCAGATTTATTAGAGATGCAACATCAGGTGCTCAAAGGACAGATAGGATAAAAACACCAACAAAGCCAACAGGATAAAAAACACTGCCGCTGAGGTGAACGGAAAAAGGCCTCCAACATCATTGCCCCATATTTTTGGGAAGGGTGCAAATGTGTGCTCTCTCCTGTGCACTGGCCTCATTAACAGCAATATAATGCAAATGCAATACAAATGGTGTACAATTCGATCATAAAATCATCCTCTGCGCTGTCACCTTCACATCCCAGAGCCACCCGCCCCCGGTGCTTAATGCTGGATGAAACAAAGTAGCTAATCTTACAAGAGAATTTAGGCCTGTGACAAAAATCAGGGTCCCTCAGCCAGGGAAGAAGGGGAGCTAAAATTTTCACAGGAGGTGGTGTTGCCAGGCAACCTGATCAGCTCTGCTCCCCATAGCATCCTGCAGGGACCCAGCCCCCGGTCAAGTTGTAAAGATAAGGGTACACATACGCACAAATAGTAAATCCTACATCTGCCTGGAATCACTTTCCACCTCATGGACCACACAAAGGGGAGTGAGGAGTCAAAGCACAAAAACAAAATGTTTTGTGTCAATCTAGTTAAATGTGGAAAATCCAAATAACGGTCATTAATAACAGTGTTAAAATGTTACCATTTGACATTACTTACCACATCCTAAATGGTAACTCAGGATGTGTCAGGAATTCAATGCTTTTCATAATCCTTGCACAAAGTCTCTGAAGTAGGTAGTATAGATGGGGAAATTAAGGCACTGGAGAATTAACTAAGTGCCAGAGGAGTTGGGGTTTTTGTTGTTGTTTTGTTGTTGTTGTTGTTTGGGTTTTTTAGGTTTTTTTTTTAAGCAGAGTCTCACTCTGTCACCCAGGCTAGAATGCAGAGGCTGGTCATGGCTCACTGCAGCCCTGACCTCCCGGGCTCAAGCTATCCTCCCACCTCAGCCACCCAAATAGCTGGGACCATAGGTGCCCACCAGCATGTCCAGCTAATTTGTTCATTTTTTGTAGCGATAGGGTCTCTCTAGGTTGCCTAAGGTGGTCTTGAACTTCTGGGCTCAAGTGATTCTCCCAAAATACAGGATTATAGGTGTGAGCTACTATGCCCAGTCCAGGATTTGTATTTGAAGCCAGCAGTCCATCTTTCTACGCCATGTTCTTAACCACTGCACCTTATTACCCAAAACTGTGGACAGAGACCAGTGCAATTGTAGGTAGGTTCTGCAAACTCAATGGCTTTATCCTGAAGCCTGGGGGATGCTTTCCATACTGAAGTGAACTGAGATTAGCAGCTAGTGGTGACATGGGATTAGTCCCACCTCCTTGCACTGTTATGAACCACTTGGAAGAATGTTTGTATATGAATGGTGGGCACCCTCTGTAAGACAGAGGGCAAAGTTGTACAACGGTTTTCTGGAGCTGGGACGTCCTGGGCCTAAGGCCTAATTCTGTCACTCCTAACTGCATGAGCTTGGGAAGTTACTTCTCTAAGCGTCAGTGTTCCCATCTGTAAATGGGCATAACTGCAGTCCTGACTTCATGAGCTTGTTTTGTGGGTTAAGTGAATTCATGCATGATAATTAGGAACTACTAACGCAATCACCAAAATTGCTAGAGGATTAAATAATTCCACAGATAAAAACTTTTTTTTTCCTTTTTTTTTTTTTTTTTGAGACATAGAATGTTGCTCTATCACCCGGGCTGGGGTGCAGTTGCACATCTTGGCTCACTGCAACCTTCGCCTCCCGAGCTCAAGCGATTCCCCTGTCTCAGCCTCCTGAGTACTGGGATTACAGGCTCACGCCACCACACCGGGCTAATTTTTGTATTTTTAGTAGATATGGGGGGTTTCACCATATTGGCCAGGCTGGTCTCGAACTCCTGACCTCAGGTGATCCGCTCGCCTCGTCCTCCCAAAGTGCTGGGATTACAGCCGTGAGCCACGGCGCCCAGCCATAAAAACTTTCGCCATAAAAACTTTCGTTAGCCATAGTCTCACCATAAACATGCCACTTACAAAAAAATATGCGCACAATAACCACGCTCAGGATGCAAACAACATCCATTAATGAACTTTGTAGTTAATACCAAAAGTTACTCCTCACTTTATTCTTTATTTACAAAAGCTTTCATGGTTCTTAAAAGTGTTTAGTATTCACCAATTTTACTGTTAGCGTTTCTAATGAGGATTTTCTAAAACTGAGGCATGGATTTGAAAAAGTGTTCTGATCAATCAGTAACAGATTTGGAATGGAATCTCCAGCCCCCAGTCTTTGCGCCCACCCTCTGGCAATATGCCGCCTCACGTGAGCATCTTTAAGACGGAGTTCCCTTTTTATTCCAGATAAAAGAATTAGGAGCCTTCTGGTAGAAAAGAAAGCAGATCTTCAGGATCAAGTCGCAGAGGCTGGCCAATCAGCCCAGCTTCTCATTTGAACTTGACCCAGACAGTAAAACAAACTTTACCATAAGGCGAGACTAACTTTTGTTATGTCTTTTCTATTCATTTCCTATTTCTGAATCAAATCTGAACTACTTTGTGGCCAATATACGACACCAGCTTCCGAGTGTGGGAATCACAGGATTTCAGGATTCAGCGGCTTCCGGCAGGATCCCCTAGGTTATGTTTAGCAATCTTCAGTTGCCTTTCCTTTTTTTCTTTCCTTCCTTTCGTTCTTTCTTTCTTTTTCTTTTTTTTTTTTTCCCAAAGGAAAGAACAAGGGAGCCCAGGCGGAACGGAAGTGAGTATCCCGACACGCGGATCTTAAACAGCCCAGACCACCAAGCCCGACAGGCCGGGAAAGCTGAGCGCGCGCTGCTGGGGGGACGCACACTTTGGAGGCTGTGTGGGCGCGCGCCGGCACCCCACAAGTTCTCATCCGTCTGCTCCGCCGATTCAGCCAGACAAAGACCGCAAGTTCCCCGGTCCACCGCTCCAGACAGGCGGGGACCAGTCTCCCCGAATTAGGCCCATTCCGGGCCCGGGCGCCCTCACTCGCCGCGGGGAAAAGTCCCCAGGTGCCCCTCCGTGATCCAGGTCCTCCCACAACGCTCCCGCTCCTGCTGGCGCCCCGCACCCCGAGGACGGCGGCCGGACCCCGGCCCCTCCCCGGTCCCGCGGCTGCAGGCCCACGCGCCCCACGCGCCCCGCGCGCCCCCGCCCCAGCTCCGCCGAGGGGGCGCTGCTCGCTGCGCGGTGGACCCCTCGGACCCCGCCCCCGCGGCCCCGTCCGGGCCCCGATACCCACCCGGGTCCCGCTGCGGGGGCCGGATTCGCGCCGGCTCCGAGAGCCGCCACCGTCGCCTCCGCCGCTGCCGCCGCCAGTGAGGCGCGGCGGGGCGGGGACGCGCGGGGAGGCCCGGCCCCCGGCCCGCCCCCGGGCCCGCCCCCGGCCCGGCCCCTGCCTGCCCCCGCCGGTCTCCCCGCCCACCTTCTGGCCCAGCCCTGGGCCCAAGCCTCTAGTTCCCTGCTGGCCCTCCCTCAGGCCTCGCCGCGTCCCGGCCTCGGGGACTGTGCCCCGTCCCGAGCCTGGCGTCCCCAAAGGAAAGGCAGGGCTCCTCGGACGCTCCGCGTGCGCGCTGGCCCTCCGCTGCCGCCCTCTGCAGGGAGATTTCTCCTATTTCGGACTAGGAAGGGAAGATACGCTCCGGAAGACCCCCCGGGCGTCCATGCAAGGAGTCTCCGTAGGACCCCTGGAGAAGGGCACCGGAGCCCCCTAGGGCAGGAGATGGAAAAGCGCTCGCCATGCGCGGGGTCCCCGGCCCCCGGTGCCCCCAGCCCGCCTGCCATTCCCGGGCGCTTAGCAGTCCGGGGTCCCCAGGTGCCCGGCAGGTCCCTTCGGGACCTCGAGCCGCCCGCTGGGCACACGCTGACGCCGCTGTCGCTTTACAGAAATTGAGCGCAGCCGAGGCGGGACCCGGGCGCAGAGAGCGATAAAGGAAAAGCATGGTCGTGCTCTAATCATTACAGTCTAAGGGACGACACGTCGAGACGGCGCGCGCCTCTGCGTGCGTGGAGATGGCACAAAGGCCGCGCCGCCCCCGGCGGCCCCCGCCCTCGCAGCGCGCGTGGTCCCGGCCCGGCCGGATGTTGACAGCGTCGCCTAGCAACGGGAAATGGCGGAACCGGGCGGCGCGGCGGGCCGGTAAGCCGGGCCGAGGGGCAGCGGGTCTTGGAGTCGCCAGGCCGCGCTCTCCGTTCACCGCTCCAGGTGGCCCCCGCGTCGGCTCCTGCCTCGCCCCTTCGCCTCCACTCCCCCTTCCTCTCGCCTGTGTCCCTTCTCTCGCCATTTTGCTGGCCTTTCCCGTCCACTGCGTTCAGCCCCTCACCCCCCCGCCAACCCTTCTCACTTCTCCCCTCCTGTCCCTTTGTCCTCTCTCGGCCTCCCTCTTTCCCCTACTCCAAGCGCGCGACTCCCTCTAAAACCCGGGACCGCTCACTCTGCAGTCACCATGGCAACCACTCTGCGTGGCGGTCCCTGCGCGCAGTCCTCCTAAGAGTAGAGGGCTCTGCAGGGCGCGGGGCTGTTGGATACCGCCCCTGACCTTGCTCCGGGGCCACTCGCTGTGGCCGGAGACCAGCCCGGCCCCGCGCCTCCCTCCTGCAAGGACAGATCCCCTCTCGCAGGCTTGGGGGTGACCCGCGATGGGAGGGGTCCCTGCGGTTAGGCGGCCCGCGATAGTCCGCGGTCACCGTCCTGGGGCCTGGGTGGAAGCACTGAGCGCGCACAGGGAGGGCGGCTGAGTGAAGATCCCTGCCACCGGGCCTCTGCTCGCTTAGGCTCTGTTTAAAAGGATAGAAACGATTGGAAAGAGTTTGGCCTTTTTACCTTAGACACATCGGTATTGTTTCATTTTTTTAAAGGTGGGTCTGTATGTATTGACATGGAAAGACTAAAGGTATTATTAATAAAACGATAGGCATAAATGTAAAAGGGTAGGTATACTATGATCTCTAATTCAGGGTGTGTGTGTGTGTTTAAAACATAGAAAAATGTTGAAAGAATGTGGTCCTAAATGTTATCAATGATTATCTTGGGAAGGAAAGGGAAGATCACAGGGAACTGTCACTGTCTGTCTCTTTGAACATATCTATATTCCTTTGACAGATAAAAATAGCTTGAATCTTTAATTTTTTAAAAAAGATATACATATATATATATATATATATATATTCCTGTGCTACGTAAATCGTGGAGAAACTCAGAGTCCCCAGAACACTTACTCTGATCGCGCTACTTTCTCTACGTTGTATTTCTTTTCCCCAGTTTTGTCCCAGACACAAGTTATATTTGAGGTGACTTTTCTGGGGTGATCTAATCCTGCTGTTCCTTCGATGTTTTAATAATTATATTTTTCATTCATTCATGGAGCTTTGCTTTTGTGGCATCTCCGCCACCTGACAGGCATGATATAGTGCTATGGTTCCTGACAAACAGGACAAAGACGTGACAACAGCCTGGGGGTGGCAGAGAAGTAACAAGTAAATAAACAGATGTGCAGAATTCAGGAGGGGATAAGGACCAAGAAAAAGAAAGCTGTTGCTTGAAACTGTTCAATTGTTTCTCTAAAACCAGGTCCCATCCGGAAGATGGATCGGCTTCTGAGGGAGAGAAGGAAGGGAATAATGAAAGCCACATGGTAAAATTCCCTATGGGCAGTTATTCCGGGCTTATATTTACTAGGAATTAAAGAGAATCAGAGTACGGGCACTGTGGCTCACGCCTGTAATCCCAACACTTTGGGAGGCCAAGGCAGGTGGATCACATGAGGTTAGGAGTTTGAGACAAGCCTGGCCAACATGGTAAAACCCCATCTCTACTAAAAATATAAAAATTAGCCGGGCGTGGTGGTGCGCACATGTAGTCCCAGCTACTCGGGAGGCTGAGGCAGGACAGTGGCTTGAACTCGGGAGACAGAGGTTGCAGTGAGCCAAGATCACACCATTGCACTCCAGCCTGGGTGACCAGTGAAACTCTATCTCAAAAATAAATAAATAGGCCGGGCACGGTGACTCACGCCTGTAATTCCAGCACTTTGGGAGGCCGAGGCAGGCAGATCACGAGGTCAAAAGATCGAGACTATCCTGGCCAACATGGTGAAACCCTGTCTCTACTAAAAATACAAAAATTTGCCAGGCATGGTGGTTCACGCCTGTAGTCCCAGCTACTCGGGAGGCTGAGGCAGGAGAATGGCTTGAACCTGGGAGATGGAGGTTGCAGTGAGCCGAGATTGTGCCACTGCACTCAGCCTGGCGACAGAGCGAGACTCCATCTCAAAAAATAGATAAATAAAATTAAATTAAAAATAAATAAATAAAGAGAATTAGGACTTGGTCAAGTATATTGTATGATGACATTATCTTGCACCAGAACAAACTCAATTCAGTTGAAGAGAGACTCATTTTCTTCCTACCCCATTCTACAGTGTCAGTGATTAGTCAGGGATGCAAAGGATGTCCAACTTTGGGTTGCCCTGAGTTTTTCGGAACTCATTTCCTGTAACAAAGGATGCAAAAATGATTATGAAAAGCAGAGAGGGCCAGGCATGGTGGCTCACGCCTGTGGTCCCGGCACTTTGGGAGGCTGAGGCGGATGGATCTCTTGAGGCCAGGAATTCAAGACCAGCCTGGCCAACATGGTGAAACCCCATCCCTACTAAAAATGGAAAAATTAACTGGGCATGGTGGTACACACCTGTAGTCCCAGCTACTTGGGAGGCTGAAGCAGGAGAATCGCTTGAACCCAGGAGGTGGAAGTTGCAGTGAGCCGAGATCACGCCACCGCACTCCAGCCTGGGCAGCAGAGTGAGCCCCTGTCACAAAAAAAAATAAAAAAAGAAAGAACAGATAAACTGAAGCATGAAACATGATTTTTTTTTTTTTTGAGACAGAGTCTCACTCTGTCTCCAGGCTGAAGTTCAGTGGCACGATCTCAGCTCACTGCAACCTCTGCCTTCCGAGTTTAAGCAATTCTCCTGCCCCAGCCTTCTAAGTAGCTGGGATTACAGGTGTGCACCACCATACCCAGCTAATTTTTGTATTTTTAGTAGAGACGGGGTTTCACCATGTTGGTCAGGATGGTCTCAATCTCCTGACCTCGTGATCTGCCTGCCTCAGCCTCCCAAAGTGAAACATGATCTCTTAGTGATGCTGAGAAGGGTATAAATGCAGTTTTCCCATTGATATAATTACACTATAAAGAATAAAACCTCACAAGGTCCTTTATACTTTGTTTCCTGATTTTTTTCCTGCCACACCTTTACAGGTGTCACCACCAGAGAAGGATGATGGCCAGAAAGGTGAAGAAGCTGTCGGTAGCACAGAGCATCCTGAGGAAGTCACAACCCAAGCGGAAGCTGCAATTGAAGAGGGGGAGGTGGAGACAGAAGGGGAAGCAGCAGTGGAAGGGGAAGAGGAGGCTGTGTCCTATGGAGATGCTGAAAGCGAAGAGGAATATTACTATACAGAAACTTCATCCCCGGAAGGGCAAATCAGTGCTGCAGATACGACTTACCCGTATTTCAGTCCTCCTCAGGAACTGCCTGGAGAGGAGGCATACGATAGTGTTAGCGGGGAGGCTGGTCTCCAAGGCTTCCAGCAAGAGGCCACCGGTCCACCAGAATCCAGAGAAAGGAGGGTCACCTCCCCAGAGCCATCCCACGGAGTCTTAGGCCCGTCGGAGCAAATGGGCCAGGTCACCTCTGGGCCAGCAGTGGGCAGATTGGTGAGTAGCCCTGACTTCTGTTTTGTGCCAGTGTCGCACGGCCCACGGGGTTTGTCACCCTATGTGAGGAACTTGGGAATACATTATAAATACAAATTGCAATCCCTGTTAGAAATGTCTTAGCAAGGCTGGGTGCGGTGGCTCACGCCTGTAATCCCAGCACTTTGGGAGGCGAAGGTGGGTGGGTCACCTGAGGTCAGGAGTTCGAGACCAGCCTGGCCAACGTGGTGAAATCCTGTCTCTACTAAATATGCAAAAATTAGGCAGGCGTGGTGGCGCACGCCTGTAATCCCAGCTACTCAGGAGGCTGAGGTGGGAGAATTGCTTGAACCCGAGAGGCGGAGGCTGCAGTGAGCCAAGATCCCACCATTGCACTATAGCCTGGGCAACAGAGTGAGACCTTGTCTCAAAAAAAAAAAAAAAAAGAAAAGAAATTTCTTAGCAAGCTTAGGTCTCAGGATTCACGGTCAAATGCTGAGAGATCCTGGACTCTGCTTCAGTCTGCCCAAGCCCAAGGCTGGGGGCCTCCATAGCCGCCATCCACGTAAGGGCATCCAAGTTCCCAGGCTTCCAGAGCAGCATTGTCCAATACGGTCCATCAGTCACATGTGGCTACAGAGAGCTCTCCAAATGTGACTAGCGAGCTGGAGGAATGGAGCTTTTAACTGTTTAAGATTCTAATTTCCATTTAAATAGCCACCTGTTGCCAGTGGCTGCCATAATGAATAGTGCAGTTCTAGATAAAAACAATGACAATAGCTGCGTTCTTATATTTTTTCATCAATTTTCTTTAAACAATCACAAAGTTACAGAAAAAAATGGAGTACAATAAAAAGGATCTTTTATTTTCTTAAACACTGGAGAGTGGGTTGCGGATCTGGTCACCAAAGCCTTCGAACGCTTCTGTATGTTTCCCACAAACAGCTGGGACACAACCATCAAAATCTAGAAATTGGGTCGGGCATGGTGGTGCACGCCTGTAATCCCAGCACTTCGGGAGGCCAAGGCGGGTGGATCACTTGAGGCCAGGAGTTCGATACCAGCCTGGCCAACATGGTGAAACCCCATCTCTACTAAAAATACAAAAATTAGCTGGACGTGGTGGTGCACACCTGTAATCCCAGCTACTCGGGAGGCTGAGGCAGGAGAATCACTTGAACTGGAGAGGCAGGGGTTGCCGTCAGCCGAGATCGCACCCCTGTACTCCTGCATGGGCGACAGAGCGAGACTCTGTCTCAAAAAAAAAAAAAAATTCTGGAAATTGCCTTGCTCCATTTCCAAGGAATGCTCAGGCCTCATTCAGGGTTCACCAAATGTCCCAATGATGTCTTTTGTAGCAAAGAGATTCAGTTCAGAATCAAATGTTGCCTTGAGTGCTCATATTTCTGTAGTCTCCTCAGTCTTTCCTTGACAACCTTGACCCTTGTGAAGGTCATAGGCCAGCTGTCTTGTAGAGCGCCCCTCAGCCTGGATTTGCCCCGTGTTTCCTCATGATGGGGTTAGGGTCATGAGGCTTTAGTGGGACTATCACGGAAGCGACGTGGGGCTCTCAGTGCGTCCCACCAGGGATGCAGGATTCCAGCTTCCACCATTCCTGATGATGTTCACTTCTGTCACCAAATTTAAAAGCACCAAGATTCTTCATTGTGAAGCGACCTTTTACTCCTTTATACTTAATGAAGATTTTGTGGGAAGGTGCTTTTTTCTTTTTTGGTTTAAGATAGGAAGGCGAATACTATTTAGAATGGGAAAAAAATTGCAACAGATTCCAACCAGTTATTGAGGACTTCTTATATTTGCTTACAAACGTATACAGGTGTTATACAACTTTTGGCAGATTTATCCCTAAGTATTTCTCTTTTTTTTGAGATGTAGTCTCGCTCTGTCACCCAGGCTGGAGTGCAGTGGCATGATCTTGGTTCACAGCAACCTCTGCCTCCCGGGTTCAAGCAATTCTCCTGCCTCAGCCTCCCAAGTAGCTGGGACTACAGGCACACACCACCACACCTGGCTAAAATTCGGTATTTTTAGTAGAGATGGGGTTTCACCATGTTGGCCAGGCTGGTCTCGAACTCCTGCCCACAAATGATCTGCCTGCCGCAGCTTCCCAAAGTGTTGGGATTACAGGTGTGAGCCATCGCTCCTGCCCAGTATTTCACATTTTTGATGCCATTATAAATGGTTTCCAATTGTCTGTGGCTAGCATATAGAAATACAATTGGTTTTTGTATACTCACCTGATATTCTGCCACGTTGCTAAAGTCCCTCACTAGTTAGACTAGCTTGTTTGTAGAATCGGTAGGCTTTTTCACAAAGATAATCATCTCATCTGAGAAAAAAGACAGTTAACTTCTTCCTTTCCCATCCAGATGCCTTTTCTTTCTTTTTCTTGCCTGATTGCATTGGCTAGAACCGCCAGCACCATGTTGAATAGAAGCGGTGAGAGCAGACCTCTTGTCTTGCCCTGATCTTACAGGAAAAGCATCAGTCTTTGACTGTAAAGTGCCATGTTTGCTGTGGGTGTTGCAGATGCCCTTTATCAGGTTAAGGAAGTTCCCTTGTATTCTCGGTTTGTTGTATGTTGTTGGGTTGTTTTTTTTTTTTTAATCATAAAAGGGTATTGGGTTTTGTCAAATCCTTTTCTGTGTCTGTTAAGAAGACTGTATTTTCCTTTTTAGTTAGTTGATTTGGTAGATTACATTGATTGATTTTCAGATGTTCAAGCAACCCCGCATTCTGAGATAAACACAGGGAGCCACTTTGGAGTGATGTGAATGTCGGTTCCTCTTTAAACTCTTGGTTTATTTATATTCTTACATCTGCATAGACTCAGGGCTCTCCATGTGATTCACTGGGTTATAACCCATTACTGTCATTATGTATTTTGATGCTCAGTTTGGCCAGTGAGGGCCCATTTAAACCAGCCTTTGTGTGATCGGACGCACCTCCATCCTTCTTTGAGGGCTTTCTTGCTTTCTGCCATAGACTGCCCAGCCTTAGAATCAGACATTTCTCCAGGAGCCCTGTTTCTGTTAGTGGAAAATAGAATTTAGAAGTTATCACTTGGGTGCTGGGGTCCTCATTGATGCTGGGGTGTCACTGTCCCCAGGACCTCTCAGCGGCAGGAGATAGGGCCTGTGTGCGTGTACTGTACGTACTTCCCCCACATTTATACATACACCATGTACACAGACATTCGCTCACATCTATATTTATTGGAACACACCCCTGCGGCCGGCCTTGGCTCACACCCCTGCGGCCGGCCTTGGCTCACAACAGAACCTCTAATTCCATCTCACCTCCATAAGGAGTCCCTCCTGGTTTTCTCCTCTTCCTTTTTTTTTTTTTTTTTTTTGAAACAGAGTCTTGCCCAGGTAGCTGGGACTGCAAGCACTCACCATCACGCCCGGCTAATTTTTGTATTTTTTGTACAAGGGGGCGTCTTACCATGATACCCAGGCTGGTCTCGAACTCCTGGGCTCAGTCAATCCTCCCTCCTCAACCTCCCAAAGTGCTGGGATTACAGGCATGAGCCACCACGCCCGGCCTCCTCTTCCATATTTGTAGCTCCTTTCTCCAACAGGGAGAAGCCTGGCCCCATGATCCTTACTGTATTCACTGATGTGGTCAATCCTCCTGGATGTAACCTGTCTCCCACTTTTACTGCCTTGGCTGCCCCCTACTCCCAGCATACCTTAGGTTTCAATTGTTCTGCGAGGGGAGATGGGAGTATGGAAGGGAGGCAGGGAAAGAGGATGCTTTATACTTCTTAGCACTGACTATGGGATAGACACTGTTCTGTGTTGTCTTAGAATCCTGACAACCCTACGAGGTAGGAACTATGATTGTGCCCATTGTACAGATGAGGAAACTGAGAGGTGCAAGGTCATTGCATAGTCACCCAGCTGTTGCGGCAAACGGTAGCTCTTGCTTCAAAGCCACCGTTCTGAACCACAAGGCACCCATCCCTCCTACTCCCCTACCCTGGGAAACCCGAAAGAGTTTCTAAAAGTCACTTTGGAGAACAGCATGATTCAGTATTTGGTGAGCCCTAATTAAGTTTTATGATCACAAGTGACAAATATAAAACCAAAACCAAAATCTTATTTTAAGAATTTATCAACAACAACAGGCCAGGCCTAGTGGCTCATGGCTGTGATCCCAGCACTTTGGGAGGCCGATGCAGGCGGATCACTTGAGGCCAGGAGTTCGAGACCAGCTTAACCAACATGGCGAGACCCCATCTCTACTAAAAATACAAAAATTAGCCGGGTGTGTTGGTGCACACCTGTAGTCCCAGCTACTTAGGAGGCTGAGGCACAAGAATCGCTTGAGCTTGGGAGTCAGAGATTGCATGAGCCAAGATCATGCCACTGCACTCCAGCCTGGGAGACAGAGCGAGACCCCATCTCAAAAACAAAACAAAACAAACAAACAAAAAAAAAAATATATATATATATATATATATCTCAACAACAGCAAAACCAGTGTCTTCACCTTTGTTTAAGTGAAGTCTAGGTCACTTGTTGCTCTGTAAACCCGATTTTCATCCTTGGGCCTAGTTTCTAGAAAATACACTGGGAAGTAGTTTTCAAATATGATTGAAGAAAGGGCAGGGACAGCCCCTGAGCGAGCCTTGCTTCCCACCTCCCACTGGCTCTCAGTCTTTGGGACAGTGTGAGTGGAGCTTGTGTCCAGTTGTGCACACGGACACCCGGAAACCTCTCATTAGGAGAAGCCACTGCTGCGCACCCTGGAGATGGGTTTTGACCCTGGGCTCCCGTTAATGTTGTTGTGGCTCCAGATGCCTCAGAAATAACTTCCAGAGTCAACACCATCTGCGGAAGTGCCGTGAGACGGTGCATGGGCTGGAGACAGAGACAGCCGGCGCCGAACATACCTGGGGCTGCCCGTGCAAACTGGGGCAAGCCCTTCAGCCTCCATGTGGCTGCTTTACTATGGAGAACAGAAATGACTAGAACCTGACTTGTGGGGTTATGGCGAGGGTGGCATGAGATGAGCTTTGTAACAATGTGTTGTTTATGGGCAGCAAAACCCTGACTCATTGTCTGGGTTACTAATATCCAAGAGTTCATCATCAGCGATAATTATTGTCAATAGTCGTAACTGCAAAAGTCTCTTTTAAAGCTAAAATGGATGCCGGGCACAGTGGCTGTAATCCCAACACTTTGCGAGGCCGAGGCGGGTGGATCACTTGAGGTCAGGAGTTCGAGACCGGCCTGGGTAACATGGCAAAACCCCGTCTCTACTAAAAGTGCAAAAATTAGCCAGGTGTGGTGGCAGGTGCCTGTAATCCCAGCTACTCAGGAGGCTGAGGCAAGAGAATCACTTGAACCCAGGAGGCGGAGTTTGCAGTGAGCCGAGATGGTGCCACTGCACTCCAGCCTGGGCGACAGAGCGAGAGTCCATCTCAAAAACAACAACAACTACAAAAAACGCTGAAAAACAGAGCTGGGGAAAGGCATTAAGGGGAGGGCTTCTCATAACAAAAACTATCACAAAAGACTCTGCAAACCCCACAATGTTGCACAAAGATCATCATAACCTTTCAAAAAAAAAAAAAACACTTCTGCTAGGACAGCTGCCAGCAACTGCCTGTCGAAACTTGGACTGATGCCACCCTGTTATTGATCCTTACAGCCAAGGAGAATTATCGCAAAACAATTATGTAATCCTCCTCATTTTTCCTGTGTCAACTTTCATCTTCCTTTACCTCCCCAAATACAAACATAATTTACTATGACACCCGTATTCCCATTGCAATGCCCTATCCCCAAATAAATGTCATTTTCCTTTACAGAACCTCTCTCTGTTTGTTATTTAGGATGATACATTGCTCAAAATTTAACATGATTGTTAAAGTAATAGGAAATCACTTGGATATAAAAATCATCATTTGACTTTTGCAAATGTCCAAAATGGAAAACATCTAACTCTCCCCCGCCCAGGGAATTCAGAAGTGGTTCCCCCAGCTCACACCTGTAATCCCAGCACTTTGGGAGGCCAAAGCGGAAAGGCTGAATGAGGCCAGGAATTTGAGACCAGCCTAGGAATCATAGCAAGACCCTACCTCTAAGTAAAATATTAAAAAATTAGACCAGTGTGGTGGTGTGCACCTGTAATCCCAGCTACTCTGGAGGCTAAGGAGGGAGGATCACCGGAGCCCAGAAGTTGGGGGTTGCAGTGAGCTATGATTGCAGCACTGCACGCCAGTCTAGGTGGCAGAGTGAGACCCTTACTCAATAATAATAATAATAATAATAATAAAAGAGTGGTTTCTGCGTGTCTGCATCTGTAGCTAAGTGTAAACACCCAGGCACGAGAATGCATGGGTCCTGGGATCTTTTGCTCCCACATGCTGAGCGCCTCGAGGATGGGAAACCACAACTCTGAGCACCCTCTTCATGAAAGCATGCGGAAAAGCCTCGGCTCCTGGCCAGGGTCTCCCAAGAGGACTGTTTCCTCTTCTCTCCTTTCAAACCAGCCCCCTTTAGGGAAATTTCAATAAGAAAATGTCTTCCCTTCATAAAAACACCTGGCTCGATTTTAACTTTATTTATTTATTTATTTTTGAGAAGGGGTCTTGCTCTGTTGCCCAGGCTGGAGTGCAGTGCTGTGATCTCTGCTCACTGCAACCTCTGCCTCCCGGGTTCAAGCAATTCTCCCTCCTCAGCCTCCCAAGTAGCTGGGATTACAGGTGCCCGCCACCGCACCCAGCTAATTTTTGTATTTCTGGTAGAGACGGGGTTTCGCCATGTTGGCCAGGCTGGTCTCGAACTCCTGGCCTCAAGCGATCCACCCGCCTTGGCCTCCCAAAGTGCTGGGAGTTACAGGCATGAGCCACGTGCCCGGCCAGGTTTTTTAAAAAACACACAGGTGACTATATTTTGAGTCTGACAACTTTCACAAATGTAATGAGTTAAAATTGAATAACTTCTCAGTGGCAATTAAGCCCTGTTGACTTAGTTTTGGTTGTTCTTGCCATAGACAGGATCCACAGAGGAGCCCCAGGGGCAGGTGCTCCCAATGGGCGTCCAGCACCGCTTCCGGCTGAGCCACGGGAGCGACATCGAGTCCTCAGACCTGGAGGAGTTCGTCTCGCAGGAGCCAGGTGCCACCCACCTGCTGAGGTCACCCTGCCCTGGCGATGAGCCACCTGCACAGGCCCTTCTGTGCAAGGGATGCCACTCGTTTGTCATCCGTTACCTGTTTCCTGAGTGGCTGTGAGCTGAAAGAGAAAAATCTTATTAACAGATATGGATAACATTTATTGGGCATTTACTGTTTTATCTCATTTAATCCTAACAGTGACCGATGAAGTAGGAATCCTTCTCCATTTAACAGACAGGTTCCCTAAGGCCATTAAGGAACTGGTCCGATTAAGTGACAGAACGCGGCCTTCACCAAGATTCAGTGACGCCCAGCCCCATCCCCTGACAGCCATTTCTCACGGGCTCCTGGTCTCAGAGCGAGACGTGCCGTGACAGCAACCCCAGGCCTGAATCTGTCTGCTGGCTTTCAAAGGCTTTCCAGAACCCCTGTCTTCTTACGTAGTCCCAGTATCCCAGTGTTGTGGACGTGGGAGGGCAGATCAGGCAGTTGCAAATTCCCTGTGGTACCGACCTGCAGCCGGTCCAAACCTTTCATTACTTGCAAATGACATGAAAACAGCACGTGTCTAAATTAGTAAAAAAACAAGCCGGGCGCGGTGGCTCACGCCTGGAATCCCAGCCAAGGCCGGTGGATCACCTGAGGTCAGGTGTTCGAGACCAGTCTGGCCAACATGGTGAAACCCCTGTCTCTACTAAAAATACAAAAATTACCGGGCGTGGTGGCGGGTGCCTGTAATCCCCAGCTGCTCGGGAGGCTGAGGCAGGAGAATCGCTTGAACCCCGGAGGTGGAGGTTGCAGTGAGCCGAGATCACGCCACTGCACTCCAGCCTGGGCAACAGAGCAAGACTCTGTCTGGGGATAAAAAATATTGTATCCAATCCACTAGTTAAGTGGCCACCTTTCTGTTCACTCTTTATGTGTAAAGAAAGCCTCTCAAAAATAATTTCCTTCCTGCCTACCTTTAAAACGGGACGCTTTCTCTGGGATGCATTGAGTCAGGGAATAGAAGATGGGGTGAATGATGTTTCTGACCCACAGACCGTTGGGATGCTTTTGCTGTCACTTTCCCATCATGCTGCATGAGGCATGACAGCAGCTGTGCCATTGATGCCCCAGAATAGAATCACTGAGGCTTCTCTCCAGCAGCTCCTCAATGGTGTCGCTGTCTCTCCCCCCAGTGATCCCCCCAGGGGTGCCCGATGCCCACCCCAGGGAAGGAGACCTGCCAGTGTTCCAGGACCAGATCCAGCAGCCCAGCACCGAGGAGGGGGCCATGGCAGAGAGAGTGGAGTCCGAGGGGAGTGACGAGGAAGCAGAAGACGAAGGGTCCCAGCTGGTGGTTTTGGACCCAGACCACGTAAGGAAGCCTTCCCAGGTTTTGCTTTTGCCTACATGGATGGCGAATGACTCAGGCCCCTTTCTCTGCCTGCACTGTCTCCCACTCCTGACCCTAAATGCTGTACTTGTATCTCGCCTGTTCACTGCACCGTTTATTGGCACTGATTGACCTGCCTCTTCGTAGGGTACTCTCCTCTGAGGTTGGTATAGGTGAGGCCTGTGTTTCTCAACCCCGGAACCACTGCCCCGTGGGGCCGGGTCATTCTGTGCTGTGCCTTGCATGGTGTGGAACAGCATCCCCGAGCTCCCCCTGCTACATGCCAGGAGCACCACCCCCCCGCCTTGGTTGTGATCATCAAAAATGTCTCCAGGCTGGACGTGGTAGCTCATGCCTGTAATCCCAGCACTTTGGGAGGCCAAGGTCTGTGGATCACCTGAGGTCAGGAGTTCGAGACCAGCCTGGCCAACATGGTGAAACCCCATCTCTACTAAAAATACAAAAAAAAAAAAAAATTAGCTGGGCATGGTGGTGAGCACCTGTAATCCCTGTTACTCAGGAGGCTGAGGCAGGAGAATCGCTTAAACCCAAGAGGCGGAGGTTGCATGCAGACAGCCAAGATGGCACCAGTGCACTCCAGCCTGGGCAATAAGAGCGAAACTCTGTCTCAAAAAAAAAAAAAAAAAAATGTCTCCAGTCATTGCCAAATGTTGGCGGTGTGGGGCCCATCTTCGCAGCCACTGCCTTGAGGGCACCAATTGGATCGCAGCTCCCTGCCCCACCCACTGGCAAGGGGAAAAGGCAGATGTTGATTTCATTTACCCATCAGGACAGCTGCAGAGCTCCAGGAACTGCCGGAAGGAGCTGGGGGCTGCACAGGGAGGTTCTCTCCCCAGACCACTGCTCCACCCCACCCTCTGGCCCCAGCTCACCATCATTTTGCCAAAATATGCACTCAGTTCTCTGCAAGTGCCTCAGATGAGACCATGAGGTGCCTTTAATTTGTGGCTTCCAGAGTAAGAATCCCAAGCAGAAGCAGGGAGCACTCCACACGGAAGTCGTCTCTGGCCCACCGGAGGGAGACCTGTGGCCACCTGGGCTGAGCCCTGGGTCGGGCAGGAGGGTAACCAGAAAGGTAACCACCTGTGGTTTTCCATTGTTCTAGCCCCTGATGGTAAGATTCCAGGCTGCCCTGAAGAACTACCTGAACCGACAGATCGAAAAGTTGAAGCTGGACCTCCAAGAGCTGGTGTGTATCCGTCCAGTCTCCCACCCTGGTCGGATGCCTGCGTCCTGGTGACCCTGTTTCTCTCTTTGGTCCAGGTTGTGGCTACCAAGCAGAGCCGAGCCCAGCGGCAGGAGCTGGGGGTGAATCTCTATGAGGTGCAGCAGCACCTGGTACACCTGCAGAAGCTGCTGGAGAAGAGTCACGACCGCCACGCAATGGCCTCGAGCGAGCGCAGGCAGAAGGAGGAGGAGCTGCAGGCCGCCCGCGCTCTCTACACCAAGACCTGCGCAGCCGCCAACGAGGAGCGCAAAAAGTGTAAGGCAACCCGGCAGCCCCACACGCCATCCGGTCCTGGAGGGTTTCCCAGGGGTGTCTCCATGTACCATGGCCAGGCATCTAGAAAAGTAAGATGTGTGTGCATCCTGGAGGGGTTCCCACCCTTTTTAGGAGGGGAAGGCACATAAATCAAATGTCTTTTTGTTGTTGTTTTTTTGAGATGGAGTCTCACTCTGTCACCCAGGCTGGAGTGCAATGGCGCGATCTTGGCTCACTGCAACCTCCCCCTTCCGGGATCAAGCCAGTCTCCTGGCTGAGCCTCCCAAGTAGCTGGTATTACAGGCACCTGCCACCATGCCTGGCTATTTTTTGTATTTTTAGTAGAGACGGGGTTTCACCATGTTGGCCAGGCTGGTCTCGAACTCCTGACCTCAGGTGATTCGCCTGCCTCGGCCTCCCAAAATGCTGGGATTACAGGCATGAGACACTGCACCCGGTTATAAATATGTTAAATGGCACCTGTCAGGACAAAGCAGCAAATGCTGAAGCTGCTAACAGCCAGAGCGTAGAGATTCAAAACTGGGAGAGATGGGTGAGCTGCAGAGGTCCCAGGATAGATGAGACCAGGAGGCGAGAGCAGACCGGGGGTGATGGAGGGTTTCAATAGATGCGAATGCGAGGGTGAGGCCGGCACGACGGTCAGACCATGGCCCAGGGCCTGACCGCCGTAGGATGTGTGCGGCAGGTCAGTGGGTAGCTTTGAATCAGATGAGACAGTGGGGGCTACAGCACGTGCTATGCAACATTACCGATAAAGCAACGTCCTTGCACAGAGCTGGTCATGTAGGTGACCGGGGACAGTGGCTTCCTCTTGTGACTACGGAGTATTTCAGTCTTTATGCTTTTTGATGTTTTCAACTTTCTCAATCAACTGTGTATTACTCTTATAATGGGGAAATGACCTACACAAACCTGGAGGAAAACAGAAGCACATGGCTATCCCAGCTGTTCTGGAAAGAAACATTTTAAACCCTGAGAAAAGTGGAAGAGGTTCTGGAAATTTCAGAGTTAGGGTAAGTGGGCACTTATCAAGCACCTCTCTTGGCTGGGCGCAGTGGCTCACGCCTGTAATCCTAGCACTTTGGGAGGCCGAGGCGGGCGGATCACGAGGTCAGGAGATCGAGACCATCCCGGCTAAAACGGTGAAACCCCGTCTCTACTAAAAATACAAAAAATTAGCCGGGCGTAGTGGCGGGCGCCTGTAGTCCCAGCTACTTGGGAGGCTGAGGCAGGAGAATGGCGTGAACCTGGGAGTCGGAGCTTGCAGTGAGCCGAGATCCCGCCACTGCACTCCAGCCTGGGCGACAGAGCGAGACTCCGTCTCAAAAAAAAAAAAAAAAAAAAAAAAAAGAAAAAAGAACCTCTCTCCAGTTAGCATCAAATGAACAGAAAACAGTAAAAGGAAAGAAAGTGACATCCACACTGAACTGAAAGAGCCACATCCTCCAGAAGTAACCAAATTTACACCCACCTGAAGGAGGACGCGTGCCCCTAACTGCTCCCCACACCTGCAGTGAGGCTGGAGCCGTGGAGCTGGTGTGGAGCGCCCTCCGGCTCCCCTCTGCTAGGGCTTAAAGAGTGGGTGGGATTCCAAAAAGATCCAAACACTCTGGTGGACTCTGCTTCCTGGAGATTAGGAGAGGGCCAGAGCCGAGGCTCTTCAACCCAGCAAGGCCTGCGTCAAACAGCACCGTCTCTGCCTTCTCAGAACTGAAGAATTTGGGCAACGGTCCCGGCCCTGACCGGGGGGCAGCCACCACTGCACAGTCCCTTAGGTGAGACGTGGGTCCTGGCCCCTGGAGAAAGCCCACGGTCACCTGCCTCATCTGGGAGGGAGACTGTATTAGGGTTGTCTAGAGGGACAGAACTAACAGGATAGATATATAGAGAAAGGAGAGTTTATTCAGTATTGACACAGGATCACAAGGTCCCACAATAGGCCGTCTGCAGGCTGAGGAGCAAGGAGAGCCGGTCTGAGTTCCAAAAATGAAGAACCTGGAGTCCAGTGTTCAAGGGCAGGAAGCATCCAGCACAGGAGAAAGATGTAGGCTGGGAGGCTACACCAGTCTCTCTTTTCACATTTTTCTGCCTGCTTACACTCTAGCCGCACTGTCAGCTGATGAGATGGTGCCCACCCAGATTGGGGGTGGGTCTGCCTTTTCCCAGGCCACTGACTCAAATGTTAATCTCCTTTGGCAACACCCTCACAGACACACCCAGGATCAATACTTTGTATCCTTCAATCCAATCAAGTTGACACTCAGTATTAACCATCACCGACACTAAACCTTCACACCAAAATGAGTTACCAACCCGAGATCCCCAGACCTGAGAGGAGACTGAGCCGGACAGACAGGCAAACCCAGCCCTGATTCTAAAAACAGAGCATGCGGAGGCACCAACTGGTAGTCTCATGAGATTTTAGAGGACGTTGTATCCGTAAAGAGAACAAAGTGTTAGGAAGAGGGGTACGTGAAATTTAAAAATATAATCATCATCCCAGAGTGTGCAGAGGCGCCAACTGGTAGTCTCATGAGATTTTAGAGGACATTGCATCCATAAAGAGAACAAAGTGTTAGGAAAAGGGGTACGTGAAATTTAAAAATATAATCATCATCCCCCCAAAAGGCACTAACTAGACAAATGAATGCAGTTGAAAACTGAATTTCTTAACTAAAAAGCCAGTTCGAGGAACCTTCCCTGGAAATAGAGCAAAACCCCAAATGATTGATATCTTGAGGAGGAGGTAAAAGACATGGACGACAGATTAGGGAAATCGAATCAGTGTCCGAAAGGGAGATTTCAGGAGATGAGAGGCAATAGCCAATGTCCAGGAGAACAGATGCGTGAGTTCAGGAAAGACGAATCTGCAGATAGAAAGACTCGTGACGGGCCATGCAGCTGAAAGAGAAAATAAACCTCCGCAGACATAGCTGGTGGGATTTCCAAATACCACGGCAAAAGAAAAAATGCTGCAGGCTTCCAGGCGGGAAAACCCAGATGGCCTCTTGAGGCCGGGCCTGGGCTACGCTTTCATCAAGGCCTCCATCAGCTGCGCCTTGGAGGAACCAGGGAGAGCTCAAAACCACCAGGACCTATCCCAGCCCAGATTTCAGATTGGTTTGTTCTGGGAAGGACCAGGCATTGTTTGTTTCTGGCTTTCTTTTTGACCCTTAAGCTTCCAGATGATGCTAACTTGCAGCCAGGGCTGAGAATCACAGATCTTAAATTTAAATAGCAGGATGTCAATGCATACAGAATTCAGAATTCTCTTTTTTGTGTTTTTTGTTTGTTTGTTTGTTTGTTGAGATGGAGTCTCTCTCTGTCGCCCAGGCTGGAGTGCAGTGGCGTGATCTCAGCTCACTGCAACCTCCACCTCCCGGGTTCAAGCGATTCTCCTGCTTCAGCCTCCCAAGTAGCTGGGACTACAGGGGCCCGCCACCATGCCTGGCTAATTTTTGTATTTTTGTAGATAACGGGGTTTCACCATGTTGGTCAGGCTGGTCTTGAACCCCTGACCTCGTGATCCGCCCACCTTGGCCTCCCAATGCATACAGAATTCTAAGGGAGAAGGATGGTTAGCATTTGACCTACATGTCAGTTAGACTCTGGAAATTAACAACAACGGGAAGTCCACGCATGAAGACTTCTGGCTGCAGCCAAATCTGCTCAGACAAAACCCATGACAGAGTTTATTTACATTTCCACAAACAAGCCTGAAAACAGACATTCTATTCGAGAAGCTAAAAAGAGGGAAATAAACTGAAAGAAGCAGAAAAATAAACCAATAAAGATCAAAAGCAGAAGCTGATGAAATAAATAAAAAATGAATTGACTTGATAAATAAACTGCTTTTTTTTTAAATGACCAATAAACCTTACACACTGCTGGCTTATCTGGCAATAAAAAGGAGATCATGCAAGTAACAGTGTTGGGAATGAGGACAACTTGGGGGAGGGTTTTTTTTGTTTTGTTTTTTGTTTTTAATTGCAAGAAAGCTATGCATTGTACTGGTTTCATCATGCAAGAAATTGAAAATGTCAAAAATCTGTTTTCCCTAAATGCACCAGTATTGGAAGATGTTATGGAAGGCTTCTAGTAACCTTTCAAGGAACAAACACTTCCTGTGTTATCAAAGCTCCAGGGCATGGAAGATTCCGGAAACTCCCCACAGGCTGGTCCTGCAATGCTTAGTGAAAGGCTGGCTGCAAACGCTGACAGCATACAAGCAGGAAACTGTAAAGCGGCCCCACATGTGAGGAGTGAAAATCCTGAACAAAATGTTAGCAAAAATAAGTAGGATTTACTTCCAGAATTCACACAGGAATAATTCACAATTAGGAAATCTACTAATTTTGTGCATTATATTTATAAATTAAAGAATGGAGGCCGGATGTGGTGGCTCACGCCTGTAATCCCAGCACTTTGGGAGGCCGAGGCGGGCAGATTACCTGAGGTCAGGAGTTCGAGACCAGCCTGGCCAACGTGGTGAAACCCTGTTTCTACTAAAAGTACAAAAAATTAGCCAGGTGTGGTGGCAGGCACCTGTAATCCCAGCTACTCAGGAGGTTGAGACAGGAGAATTGCTTGAGCCCAGGAGACAGAGGTTGCAGTGAGCCGAGACTGTGCCACTGCACTCCATCCTGGCCAACAGAGTGAGACACTGTCTCAAAAAAAAAAAATAAATAAATCAAATAAAACAAAATACAAGGATAAAAAAAAAAGGCTTCCTGGGTGGGTGCCAAATGGGTATTTAATAAAACTCATCATCCATCCCAAAGTAGGATAGAAGGAGAGTTCTAAGTATTTATCAGAAACTAACAAGAAAATGTTACCCAGTGGAAAGACTAGACTTAAAATCAGGAATGAGATGAGGAGGCCTGCTAGCATAGCAGTTACCCCAGACTGTTTTGGAGGCTCCAGCAACGCAAAGAAAACAAGAGAAAGAAATGAGATATGGATCTGGGAATGAAATACTGAAATTCTCAACCTCTACTAATGAAAAATAAAAGCCAATAGAAACAGTAAGAAATCAATAAAGTAGCTGGATACCAGCTCTGTAGTTTTCTTCTACACCAGTAATATAGTTAGGAATTACAATTTTTAAAAAAGCTCATTCATAATAGCTATAACAACTTTTAAATAAGTCCAGGAAGAAATCCAACAAGGAATGATGAGCCTGTCTGAAAAAAAACAATAAATGTTATGAAAGGTCATAAAACAGATTTAAATAAATGGAGTGCCCACGTTACCAGCTGGGAAGACGCATGATATAAAAATGCCATTTCCCTCCAAATTAGCAATAAAACCATTGCAATTCCCGTTACCCTCCGTGGTGAGATGTTTTGGGTGAACTTAAATTTATTCAACATAATTATTTACTTATTTTGGAAAAGTAATGATTCAAAATGCAAGAGCTCTACAACTAAGAGGAAGTTTTCGTCTCTTTTCCCCTTCCCCCACCCAGCCACCAGGGCCCTCCGCAGAGGCAACGTAGATTCTTGTGGATTCTTTTTGTTTTTGTTTTCTTCGAGACAGCGAGACGCATCTTGCTCTGTTTCCCAGGCTGGAATGCAATGGCAGAGTAGCCTCGAACTCCCAGCCTTAAGTGATCCTCACACCTCAGCTTCCCAAGTAGCTGGGACTACACACACACCACCAGGCCTGGCTAATTTTCATATATATATATATATATATATATATATATATATATTTTTTTTTTTTTTTGGTAGAAACAGGGTCTTACTGTGTTGCCCAGGCTGGTCTCCAATTCCTGGGCTCAAGTGATCCTCTTGCTTCGGCCTCCCAAAGTCCTGGGATTACAGGCATAAGCCACTGTGTTCAGCCCTTGTGGAGTCTTTTGGAGATTTTTTGCATATCTAAGCAAAGTCACAAGGGTGTGTGTGTATGTGTATCTCTCTCTCTCTCTTTAACTTAAATGGCTGCATATTATACCCACTGCTCGGTTCCTCGCTTGCTGTCCCTTAGCAACACGTGCTGCGGATATTCCACCTCAAAACAAAAAGCACCTCGGGCCAGGTGCGGAGGCTCACGCCTGTAGTGTTGACACTTTGGGAGGCTGAGGCTGGCAGATCGTTTGAGCTCAGGAGTTCAAGACCAGCCTGGGCAATGCGGCAAAACCCCATCTCTACAAAAAATACAAAAATGAGAAATTGGCCGGGCATGGTGGCATGTGCCTGGAGTCCCAGCTACTTGGGGGGCTGAGGTGAACCCAGGAGGTTGAAGCTGCGGTGAGCTATGATTGTGCGACTGCACTCCAGCCTGGGTGACAAAGTGACACCCTGTCTCAGAAAACAACAAGAACAACAACACTTTATTCTCAACAAATTGATTTTAAAGTTCATTTAGAAGACTAAATGCACAAAAATATCCAAGACAATTTTGAAAAGGAAGGATAATGAAAGAAATATTTAAGAATAATAACAAGTCCTTAGCCAGGCCTGGTGGCTCACGCCTGTAATCCCAGCACTTTGGGAGGCCGAGGCAAGCGGATCACAAGGTCAGGAGATCGAGACCATCCTGGCTAACATGGTGAAACCCCATCTCTACTAAAAAAAAAAATACAATTACTCGGGCGTGGTGGCGGGCACCTGTGGTCCCAGCTACTCAGGAGACTGAGGCAGAAGAATGGCGTGAACCCGGGACGCAGAGCTTGCAGTGAGCCGAGATCACCACTGCACTCCAGCCTGGGCGACAGAGTGAGACTCTGTCTCAAAAAAAAAAAAAAGAAGAATAGCAAGTCCTCAAAGAGAACTTAGAGGAAATTACTTTGGAATTTAGCTACTGCAAGCTATATTAATGCACAGGTTGCTTTTTTTTTGAGACAGAGTCTCACTTTGTCACCCAGGCTGTAGTGCAGTGGCATGATCCTCCCACCTCAGCCTCCTGAGTAGTTGGGATTACGGACGTGCACCAACACATCCTGTTAATTTTTGTATTTTGAGTAGAGACAGGGTTTCACCATGTTGGCTAGACTGGTCTTGAACTCCTGGCCTCAAGTGATCCGCCCACCTCGGCCTCTCAAAGTGCTGGGGTTACAGGCGTGAGCCACCACACCCAGCCAAAATGGCTTTGCAAGTTTAAGCTGTATCCTTCGAGCACACCTGGCTCCAGGATGATATGCGTCCAGCAGCCTTTTGGCCTGTAATTCAGTTTTCTGTTTGGATCCAGCCACTGAAAGGGAGTGCTCTGTGCAGTGAGCAAGCAAGTACTGACCCACGTGTAGCTCCCTCAATAAATTTGCACTCCAGCTTTAGAAATCCATCTCATGGCCGGGCGCGGTGGCTCATGCCTGTAATCCCAGCACTTTGGGAGGCCAAGGTGGGTGGATCAGGAGGTTAGGAGATGGAGATTATCCTGGCTAACATGGTGAAACCCCGTCTCTACTAAAAATACAAAAAATTAGCCGGGCGTGGTGGCGGGCGCCTGTAGTCCCAGCTACTCGGGAGGCTGAGGCAGGAGAATGGCGTGAACCCTGGGGGCGGAGCTTGCAGTGAGTCGAGATCGCGCCACTGCACTCCAGCCTGGGCGACAGAGCGAGATTTCGTCTCAAAAAAAAAAAAAGAAATCCATCTCATGCAAGTTTTGTTAAAGGAATCAGTTCCTCGGGCCTTGGCCTCCTCTGAGAGCACTGACATAAATCTGTCACTTAACTTGGGACAGGATGGAAGCTGCTGCCTCTTCTAGCCTCGTCCTCTCTGGCCTGCACTGCTGTGCAGCGGTGTCAGTGCAGGGGCATCTGTGGAGCTCAGCCTGCCCTGGATGTTCTCGTCTCCTCCCAGGGGACTTAAGACTCCACCTAAGGTTGCCAGCCTTTCAGTGGTAAGACATCTATGCAATCAACCCGAAGCCTTACCACCTGGCACTACTTCAGTGTATCCTTAGACTACCAGGAGGATCTCTGAGACTTGGTGGGGAATGGAACAGCTTGCTGCAATTTGTGGATGTAGATTCCGTATATTTTTGTCTCTTCCAAGAGACTGTAAACTCTTTGCTGACAAAGTCTGTGTCTTGATAGTTTAAAAGCAGTTTCCCAGTCTTACCCAAAAATGGCAGGAAGGGTGCCCAGAACGGCTGTTCCCTGCTTCCTCCTGGGTCTCTGCATGGGGGACGCTGGGACAGCCTCCCCACTCACTCTCTCTCTCTTTCTCCCCCGCCGCGCCCCGCAGTGGCGGCTCTGCAGACTGAGATGGAGAACTTGGCCCTGCATCTCTTCTACATGCAGAACATCGACCAGGACATGCGTGACGACATCCGCGTGATGACACAAGTGGTAAAGAAGGCCGAGACGGAGAGGATCCGGGCAGAAATCGAGAAGAAAAAGCAGGTATTCTGCAAACTCGACACATGTTTAATGATCACCAGACCGTGGAGCTTCAAAAAGGGGCTCAGCTTTGCCTCCTGCGTGAAGGCTTCCGGCCGGAGGGGTGGCGGCCGGCCTGGGTGGCGTCAACTTGTATCAAGGGTTGGTGGAGAACAGGCCCTCAGCCACGGGCACCTCCTGACGGGGCTGCTTCTCATCCTGTTTCCCAGGACCTGTATGTGGACCAGCTCACCACTCGAGCCCAGCAACTGGAAGAAGACATTGCCCTGTTTGAGGCTCAGTACTTGGCCCAAGCTGAGGACACCCGGATTTTAAGGAAAGCAGTGAGTGAGGTAAAAGCAGTCCCCGCAGCTCTCAGTGTTCGACCCTCCAGTGAGTGTCCACGCACAGGGTGCTGGTGGGTCTACTAGACTGCACCTGCCCGTCTGCTGGATGAGTGACTGCAGCCAGCTTACATCTGCAAACATCGGGCCCTCCCCATGGTGGGGCCACAGTAGATACTGACAGGTGGACAGCCCGGATTCCTATTCCTTCCCTGGCTAGTGGGTGACAGAAGGCCTCGCAGGGTTCAGGTACTCTAGTCGCTTCATGACCGCCAAGGCCAGCTTGCTGCGGGGATGCTCAGCAAGTTCCTTAGCCTGCAGGGACCTCTTCCGGGGAGGACTGAAGTCTTTCTAACAATTCTCACCCCCGTGGGCAGCCGGCCTTCCGGGTAGCTCCTACATCTCTGCACCTCGTGGAGTAGGGAGTGGAGGGAACGAAGGGGGTGAAAGCTGCTCCCTCTTGGCCCCAGATTCAGGTCTGTAGTGGTAGCACCAGAAACCAAAGTTACTGCAACTTAAAAAAAAAAAAAAAAAAACTATGAGTCACCATCTTCATTCACGGGTGCGGGAATGACACGGAGGAAACAATTAACTTTTTTTTTTTTTGAGACAGAGTCTCGCTCTGTCGCCCAGGCTGGAGTGCAGTGGCACAATCTCAGCTCACTGCAACCTCCGCCTCCCAGATTCAAGCAATTCTCCTGCCTCAGCCTCCAGAGTGGCTGGGACTACAGGCGCCCACCTCCATGCCCAGCTAATTTTTGTATTTTTAGTAAAAACAGGGTTTCACCATGTTGGCCAGGTTGGTCTCAAACTCCTGACCTCAGGTGATCCACCCACCTCGGCCTCCCAAAGTCCTGGGATTACAGTCATGAGCCACCGTGCCCAGCCAATGAAAAAGAAGGAAGAGGACTTGAAGGAACGGATGAGCACGCTGGGCTCCCAGGGTAAAGGGAGGGCCCGGGGCTGGGCGTTACTCAGCACTGGTCTCTCCAGCTACAAATGCAATTAAAGTAGAGCACGTCCCAATCAGAATCTCAGGAACAAACAATCCCTTAGTTAACAAAACAATTCTGGAGTTTTATCTGAAAAATAAATTAGGAAGGCTAGCCAAGAATGGTTTTGGAAGAGAAGATTCAAACGGGGCAAGCAGCCATCCCAGTCTGCTCAGGACTGAGGGGTCCCCAAGACAAGGGACTTTCCATGCTAAGCCCAGGGGGTCCTGGACACAGCAGGATGGCAGATCACCCTAGCATCGCCGCACCAAATATTAAAGTATACAGTAAAGCTCTGGCCAGGCAAGGTGGTGCACACCTGTAATCCCAGCACTTGGGGAGGCTGAGGCAAGAGGATGGCTTGAGCCCAGAAGTTCAAGACCAGACTGGGCAACATGGTGAGACCCTGTCTCCACAAAAAAATAATAATTAAAAAAAAATAAAACATTAGCCCACCATGGTGGTGTGCACCTGTGGTCCCAGCTACTCAGGAGGCTGAGGCAGGAGGATCACTTAAGCCCGGGAGGTCAAAAAAAAAAAAAGAACAACAACACTTTATTCTCAACGAATTGATTTTAAAGTTCACTTAGAAGACTAAATGCTCAAGAATACCCAAGAAAATTTTGAAAAGGAAGGATCATGAAAGATCCTTGAACTATGAAAGATCCAATGAAATATGATCATACCACTGCACTCCAGCCTGGGCTACGGAGCAAGACCCTGTCTAAAATAAAACAAAACCGTAAAGTTCTAGAGGCTAAAATAATGTGTCACAAGATAGACAGGCAAGACATTGAAGCCTATGAGAGAGCCCCAAAGCAAGCCAGAGTTTATATAAAAACCTAGTAGATTATAAATTACCAGAGAGCTAATGAATTATGCATCCAATGATGTCGGGACATTTGGTTAATCATTTGGGAAAAAATTAAATCTTTTCCTCATACCAGACACTAAAATAAATTCCAGATGGAATCAAGTATTTAAATGGGGGAAAATGTGCCAGACGAAAACAAATGAAAATATTTATATAATCCTGGGCTGGGGAGGCCTTTCAAAGTATAACACCAAAAGCAGGAACCTTAAAGGAAAAGACTAGGAGGGGCCGGGTAAGGTGGCTCACGCCTGTAATCCCAGCACTTTGGGAGGCCGAGGCCGCTGGATCACCTGAGGTCAGGAGTTCGAGACCAGCCTGGCCCGCATGGCAAAACCCCATCTCTACTGAAAATACAAAAATTAGCTGGGCGTGGTGGTACACGCCTGTAATGCCAGCTACTTGGGAGGCTGAGGCAGGAGAATCGCTTGAACCCAGGAGGCAGAAGTTGCAGTGAGCCGAGATCATGCCATTGCATTTCAGCCTGGGCGACAGAGCCAGAATCCATCTCAAAAAACAAAACAAAACAAAAGACTAGGAGGACAATCACACCCTCAATAAAACCTTTGTAGATTAAGGACGCCACAAACCAGATGAAGGCGGGGAGACAGGCAGGAGAAGACAACTCGCAGCCATTAGTAAATCCGGGGTTGTGAAGAGAGGCTGAAAGCCAAGGAGACTCGCCCTGTGTGCTTCCACACCCTGGAGGCAGGTGGGCTACTTGGTAGATGCTTCCTTTTGCACCTCCCGCCCTCCCCTCGATGCAACTTCCCCAGGGAAGGGGGCCGCCCGCACTTCCTTCATTTCTCATTTCCAGTACCCAGAACAGTGCGGGGGCAACAGCAGGGCCCCTGTTCATCGAGCGAAGTCACAAGTAACCAAAGGACAGGGAGTCCCCTACAGAGTTGGCAAAGATAAGGAGAGATGAGCCCTCCCTGCTGTCGGCCATGAAAATACAGATTGGCCTTTATCTTTATCAAGATCTTCATCCAGGGCGATATGATCATATGCAGCCACTCCCTCCCTAACCCTAACCCTAACCCCGCACCCTGTTAGTGCTTAGACTCCATTCCAAGGAACCTAGCAAAGACCTATGCAGATAACATTTTTGTATGTTAAAAATGATAAAGCCAGGCTTGGTGGGGTGCACCTGTAGTCCCAGCTACTCAGGAGGCTGAAGCAGGAGGAGCACTTGTGCCCAGGAAGTCAGGGCTGCAGTGAGCTATGATTGCACCACTGCACTCCAGCCTGGGTGACAGAGTGAAACCCCCGTCTCTAAAGAAATAAATACAGTGAATAGAGACTCATGGGGGAGATGACGCTCATCACCGTGTTGTGTCATCAGAAAGAAAGACCCCAAGAAGAGGACATTAGTGAAACCCATTTTCATACACCTGTGCATCAGAATACACTACACCAAAAAGAGCTCTACTGACATGGAAACCTGTCTCGATATTAATTTCTTATTTTAATTTTTTTTAAATTATACTTTAAGTTTTAGGGTACACGTGCACGATGTGCAGGTTTGTTACATATGTATACATGTGCCATGCTGGTGTGCTGCACCCATTAACTCGTCATTTAGCATTAGGTATATCTCCTAATGCTATCTCTCCCCCCTCCCCCCACCCCACAACAGGCCCCGTTGTGTGACGTTCCCCTTCCTGTGTCCATGTGTTCTCATTGTTCAATTCCCACCTATGAGTGAGAACATGCGGTGTTTGGGTTTTTGTCCTTGCAATAGTTTGCTGAGAATGATGGTAGAGACTAAGTCTCACTCTGTCCCCCAGGCTGGAGTGCACTGGGGCCCTCATGGCTCACTGTAGCCTCAAACTTCTGGGTCCAAGCAATCCTCCCACCTCAGCCTCTCAAGTAGGTAGGACTATAAGCACATGCCACCACACCGTGCTAATTTTTTTATTATGATTATTCTTTTTGTAGAGACGGTGTTTCTTTTTGTTGCCCAGACTGGTTGGGAACTCCTGGCCTCAAGTAATCCCCCCGCCTCAGCCTCCCAAAGTGCTGGGATTACGGGCATGAGCCACCGCACCTGGCACAATACATTAATTTTTAATATGGCGGGGCATGGTGGCTCACACCTGTAATCCCAGCACTTTGTGAGACCGAGGTCGGCAGATCACCTGAGGGTCAGGAGTTCGAGACCAGCCTGGCCAACATGGTGAAACCCCGTCTCTACTAAAAATTCAAAAATTAGCCAGGCGTGGTGGCGAGTGCCTATAATCGCAGCTGTTCGGGAGACTGAGACAGGAGAATTGCTTGAACTCAGGAGGCGGAAATTGCAGTGAGCCAAGATCGTGCCATTTTGCTCCAGCCTGGGTGACGAGAGTAAAAGTGTCTCAAAAAAAAAAATTAATAGGAGATTATGAAACAATATATAGAATTTGATTTCGCACACACACACAATCACAGGTGTAAGAAGTTAGAAATGGTTATCTCTAAGTGTTAGGGTTATTGAATTTTCATTTTCTTTTTGCTTATTTGCACATTCTATTTGCATAGGCTGAACACTTGCCTTTGTGAAAAACTGGGGTCTAAATGCACAGGTGACTGAGCCCGGCAGCCATCTTTCCATCCTTATGCCTTGACCTGCACCTCAGTCAACCAGGCTGTGGCCGGCAGCCTCAGGGGCACCATGGGGAGGCCTCGCACAGGCTCAGTTTAAGGTGCATCCTGGCTGAATTTGGGTCCCCACCTGCTGCCTGGGCCAGCTCCCACTGCCCAATGGCACAGAGCAGCCTCCTTAGTGAATAACTTACCCCCATACAAAACTGTGACCCAGCAGTCCCACGACTGGGCATTTATCCAAAGGAAAGGGAATCCGTGCATCCAATAGACACCTGCACCCCCATGGCCAGGCTGGTCTCGGACCCCTGACCTCAGGTGATCCGTCCGCCTTGACCTCCCAAAGTGCTGGGGTTACAGGCATGAGCCGCCGCACCTGGCCCAGTCAACAATAATTTATTGTACATTTTCAGATAGCTAGAAGAGAGGGTTTTGAATGTTCCCAACTCAAAGAAATAACAATTGCTGGAGGTGACTGATACGCTAATTACCTTGATTCAAGCAGTACACATTGTACATGTGTCGAAATATCACTCTGTACCCCAGAGATATACAGCTGTAACATGTCAGCTAAAATAAAAGGAAATACTACAGACAAAAGGGAAGTCAGTCCCGGGATGTACACAGTGTCCCTTCCTAGGCTGCCCAATAATCCTAAGTAAGCGTCTGTGAGAGGAAAAAAAAGTCCCCCTCATCGTGGTATACTTAATTCACACCATTTTAGGTTACGTCGTAATGAATAGATGGTTCAGAAACCCTCACAGCCAAGCATGGTGTCTCCAGGGCGATGGCCTCTCTCATGCCCGGCGCTGCCCTCGGCTCCCCCGTGATGTTCTAGCGCACTGTGGTTCAGTCACTGTCTACCAAGCTTGCCTGGGTGTCACGGCGTGCAGGCACTTCTGGGACTTGGCGTTCTACAGGACGCCCCAGTTGGCTGACTCGGGCCGCCAGCTTGCTCAAGTCACAGTGCTTGCATTGGGGATGACTCATCAAGAATCCCAAACACCACTCAAAACAAGACCGCGATCCAGGCCGTGCTGGGCATGCAGGCATCAACTCACTTGACCCGGCAGCCCCGGGGTCGCTCCTGTACCCATGGAGGTGCCGCTCCTGTACCCATGTCACAGCTGGGGACACTGAGGCACAGCGGGTGAGATTCAGCCCAGGCAGCCGTACCAGCCTTAACCTCTGTGCCCCAAGCATAAAGGAACTCCCCTTTCCCTTGGAGTAAATTCCTGAACCACCCCCCTAGTTTTCAAGCCCCTCCCCTGCATGGGCCAAGCCCTTACTGCAGGTGGCCCCTCACTGCCCCCCACGATGCCCCTAGACTTCCAGCCTCCGCTCAGCCTGCCTGACCTGCCCACCCCTGGCTGTCCAGTTGTGCCTCCTCATTCCCAGTCTAGGCAGCCCTGCTTCCCCCAGCTGGACGAGAGCATCCAGCCCTGGCCATTCTTGAGACAAACACCTCCTTCCATCATGGCCTCCCTACAGGAAGCGGTGCTGGGCCCGTCCTGTGGGACCTCAGTCCGAATCAATGACACCACCAACCCTGCAGAGGTGTTTCACGGATGCTGGCCAGGATCCCCTCCTCCTCTCCCTCCTCCTCTCCCTCTTCCTCTCCGTCTTCCCCCTCCCCCTCCTCCCTCTCCCCCTCCTCCCTCTTTCATCTCCTCCCCCTCCCTCTCCCCCTCCTCCCTCTTTCATCTCCTCCCCCTCCCTCTCCCCCTTCTCCCTCCTTCATCTTCCCCCTCCTCCCTCTCCTCCCCTCTCCCTCCTTCATCTTCCCCCTCCTCCCTCCCCCTTCCTCCCTCTCCTCCCTTCCCTCCTCCTCCTCATTCCCAAGCACTGAGCACCGCAGGCCCTGAGCAAAGGCTCAAAGCGGGTACGGGTTATCTTGAAAGCTACATTCAGGCTCGTGTTTACCCCTCTGCAGATGCATGATCAAGGAAAGTACCGGTGATAGAAGGAAAAGAGGAAGATTTGGGAATGTGAGGCTCTGGTGTTCTTGGGCTTTGCTCGCAAATGAAATGAGACAGCCATTCCTGCCCCCTCCCCTGTTGGCTGCAGGCCTGCACCGAGATCGACGCCATCAGCGTGGAGAAGAGGCGCATCATGCAGCAATGGGCCAGCAGCCTGGTGGGCATGAAGCACCGCGACGAGGCGCACAGGGCGGTGCTGGAGGCGCTCAGGTACTGCAGGGCCACAGGCAGCGAGGATGTGCGGGAACCCCAGGGGTCCGTGGCAGGCCCGCCCCACACCCCCTCTCTCTGGGTCCACCGGATCTCTGGGACAGAGGGTGCACCTTGATCCCCGGGTCCGGGCTTCCGTCCGGAAAGCTCCCTCATTGTTTGGTAAGATTTCAGCGATTCTTAAATCCTTTCCAACACTGCGGCGCTGGGAGGGGAGAGGCTTTTCTGCTCAGATTTCCTGGCAGGATTAAGTAGAAACAGAGCAGGGTAAAGAGAAAGCTATCTTTGGGAGGTAAAGGTGTCCCTTTGATTTGCAGTATCACCACCTGAGTGCGGAAACCCCATCCCTTCTCGATTGTTCTGCCTGAGGGCTGCATTCCAACCGAAATCCTATTTTAATCTCCAAAGGAAGGGGAGGAAGAGGCCTCCTCTGGGCATCCCCTCACTTCTGGGGATGGATGCGTGGCTCAGGGCAGGGCGTTGGAGACACAGGTGCTGCCTTCATTCCTAAAACCACCCAGGGTGACCAGGTCTCGGGACGCGGAAAGAAAAAGCCGGGCACTGTGGTGGCACGTGTCTCACCCGCTGAGCTTTAACTTCCCCTCCACCTTTCGTAGTCTCCACCCCTTGTGCCCAGCACAGAGCCTGGCATACAGCAAGCGCTCAAGAAAGGCTGGACCAAGGAATGAGGGTCTGGCTGGCCCCACAGCACCCGCAGCCAGGCAGCCAGCAGCAGTCACACAACCAGGAGATGCTTTTCCTTTTGGGTGCTGTGATTAAAGAAACAAAATGAAACCATTTTGTTTTTAAAAGTTTTTAGACCAAAACATTTTCAAATGAATAATATTGGATTAACCATACTCATTTCTGGCCAGGCGCAGTGGCTCGCACCTGTAATCCCAACATTTTGGGAGGCTGAGACGGGTGGGTCACGAGGCCAGGAGTTCAAGACCAGCCTGGCCAAGATGGTGAAACCCCGTCTCTACTAAAAATACAAAAATTAGCCAGGCATGGTGTGGGCGCCTGTAATCCCCGCTACTCGGGAGGGTGAGACAGAGAACTGCTTGAATTGCGGAGGTTGTAGTGAGCCGAGATCACGCCACTGCACTCTAGCCTGGGAGACAGAGCAAGACTCTGTCTCAAAAAAAATAAAAATAATAATAATACTCATTTCCTTCACTCCCTTGAGTCAACAACATAAAGCCAAAGGGAACACTGTGGTTTGATACAGGCGATGTTTGGCTGAAGCTTCGTTTCCCCTGTAAAGATGCAGGTCGAGGAACCAGAGCCAGCTGTGGCCGGGCAAGGGCTCCTCTCCCTGTGTCACCAGGGTTGCCTGAACACCAGGACGAGAGGACTTGGCCATCTGCCCACTTGGGTGTCTTTTTCCTCCTGCCCCAATGCTAGGACTTGATACCTGACTGTTTAATTACACGGCTCAGCTGCCACGGGCCTTAAGAAAAGTCAAGGCCAGGTTCTCTCTGAGGGTCCAGCACCTGGCCTGGCTCTCCGAGGCTCATGGCCTGTGAACCCTGCAGCGTCCCCAAGGGAAGACGTCACCTCCGAGATGGTCCTGTTGTCCAGCTCTCCCCTGCATCCCAGACTAACCAGTGTCCTCTCTGCAAACCGTCCTCATTGCCCTCAGAGACATGGCTTCCTTTTGGTTGCAAACATTGTAAAAATCGTATTCGATCAGGTCTCCTCCTCCTCGGCCCGCAGTCACTAGAACCCCCTCCCAAGACAAGCAAAGGCACCTGGTTTTCTGGGATCCCCTGCCTAACTTGTGTGCAATTGCAAGAAAGCATATGCGTTCACCCGGAGTCTTCCTTCCCTCTCTTGCTCCGTGGGAGCACACCACACTCACTGTTCTGCACCTCTTTGCTTTTTCCATTTAACAGCGTGTCCCTAGAGCGCTTCCCAAGTCAAAATATAAACACCGCTCGTTCCCGCCTTTCTACCACATGGCATTCCGCTGGGATACTTCTACGGGGAAGCTTCCTGCCCGGGGCATCGAGGGCGTTCGCGTCCGTCTGTTATGGCGGTGCTGCTGTAGATAACCGGATCCGCGAATGCTAACGCTCACCAGGATGCTATATAGCCTTTTTTATATTGCCTATCAAGCCCGGAATGTCTGGGTCTAGCGGGTATTGCTAAGTAGGATTGTGACAGTCACGCCCCCGGCAGCGGTGTTTCAAAGTCCCCTGACAGCTCAGCATGTTGTCACACTTCAGGACTGTGCCAATCCGATTGATGAAGAAAATAGATAATCTTGTTTTATAAAACGTGCATGCGCAGAATGTTGAGTGAATATTTTAGTGGACTATGTACACGCACAAACACTTCACAACGAGTGAGAGAGCCTCTGACTTCACCTGCAGCTTGCCACACCAAGGCCCCGGGGAGGAGTGAGGCCCAACTTTTATTTATTATATTTTTGTGGTTCTTGCAATGGAGTCTCGCTCTGTCCCCCAGGCTGGAGTGCAGTGGCACCATCTCTGCTCACTGCGACCTCCGCCTCCTGGGTTCAAGCGATTCTCCTGCCTCAGCCTCCCAAGTAGCTGGGATTACAGGCGTGCACCACCACGCCTGGCTAATTTTTGTATTTTTAGTAGAGACGGGGTTTCACCATGTGGGCCAGGCTGATCTTGAACCCCTACCTCAGGTGATCCACCCGTCTTGGCCTCCCAAAGTGCTGGGATTACAGGCGGGAGCCACTGCGCCCGGCCAGTCTTTTAAAAGTGCAGGCCGTGTAGAACATTGTGAGAAGTATAAACTGTAATTACAGAGATTTGCTGTTTGCACCCAGATAGATTTGAAGAAGCAACTTGGAGACAGGTTTAATAGATCAGGGCCATTATTACAGAAATAAATTATTGCATAGCTTAGGACTTCCAAGCTAGGAGTGCAGTGACTGAACTATACCTCAAATATTGACCTTGAGATGTTCAGATTTGTAGAGCATCTTAGAAAATGGTGACATTCCTGGCTGATGGTCAGGATGGTGCATACCAGGCCGGTACCCTGGTGGCTGTCTGGGCATTTCTGGAGCCTTCACCCTGCGAGATCCCCATGGGGCAGGACCCCCTGGCCCAGAAGCTTGGTTTTGCCATCACACCGAGAAGGCACACTTGTCCTGGAGTTAGTTTACATGAATCGAGCTCACCAGAGCCTGACGTGTAACTGAGTATAATAGCCCATTTATGTGCATGATGAAATATAAACACCAAAGAACCGAATGCTCCACGCTCGGACTAGCAGATTCTTATCTGTGGGGGAGGACACAGGAGCGGATGACACAGACCCCTGCTCAGGGACCGGCTAGAGGGCGGAATGCCTGGGCCCCGGCCCTGTCTGCTTCCTGCTTCTTCCCCGAAGTTCATGGCCTGTCCGTCCACATGGGCGGGAGGTGTCCCGCGAGCAGCCCTCACCCTGACCTTGGCTGCTTTCTCCATTCCATTCCCCACCCCTCCTCCCTCCTGACACCCATGGCATTTTTTCAGATAAGTTAATACCTTTGATTAGGTTCCAGCCAAACCTCACCCTTTCTCTTTCCCCATGCCTTTGTGTCTCTCTTCGTCTGATGTCGAGTCTACAACCTAATGCTTTGAAGACAGACTGACTTCCCCGTCCTTGGTCAGGGGGTTGCTGCTGCGTGGGGGGGGCGGTAACCATAATCTTGCCCCCGTGTCTCATACACAAGCTGCAAGCTTAGCTCAGAAGCTGTGCCTGTCTTGGCTGCTTTTTCTTGCTGTCTTCCCTATTTTTGCAGGAGTTTTGCACACGGTCATAAAAGTTCAGGAGAAACATGAAACGTGTTATTCTGTTTCCTGTTTAAGTCGACCTGAGGAAGCTGAAGGGGTCAGGCGCGGTGGCTCACGCCTGTAATCCCAGCTCTTTGGGAGGCCGAGGCGGGCAGATCACGAGCTCAGGAGCTGGAGATTGAAACCATCTTGGCTAACATGGTGAAACCCCGTCTCTACTAAAAATACAAAAAAACAGCCAGACCTGGTGGCGGGCACCTGTGGTCCCAGCTACTCAGGAGGCTGAGGCAGGAGAATCGCCTGAACCCGGGAGGTGGAGGTGGCGGTGAAGCAAGATGGTGCCACTGCACTCCAGCCTGGGTGACAGAGCGAGACTTCGTCTCAAAAAAATAAGAAAGAAAAAGAAAAAAAAGAGAGAGAGAGAGACAGAGAGAGAGAGAGAAAAAAAGAAAGAAAGAAAAGAAAAGAAAACTGAGGGCTTGCCCTAATCTCCTAGACTTCCTTTTCCCTCAGTCCTGATGATGGCAGAGACGACTCCTCAAAGGCTCTTCCCCTTGGCATGGAGTGCTGGAGCCTGCCCTAGGGAGGGAGGACAGGATGGAGCAAGACACTGAACGCAGAATTAGAGCTAGGCAACGAGCGGGTGATTTCACTGTTTCCTGGGTAACAAGCCCCAGGCTCAGCTCGGTCTGGTGTAGCCCCTCAAAGGGGACACTGTCCTTGCCCCCAGTTGATGGAGGAGGAAGGAGCGGAAGGCAGTGTGGGATGGGTTGGGTGTGGGCATTGCCACAGTGTCCCCAGCAGGCCTCCTTCTAGCCTGGGGATCTGGCAGGTGGGTCCCAGTCACCACCAATGCCCCATATACCCAAGGACACTGGTGACCCAGCAGACCTGAGGCCACAGACCAAAGACAGAGTAACAACCCCATTAAAAATGTGCCCCCATGGGCGGGCATAGTGGCTCCTGCCTGTAATCACAGTGCTTTGGGAGACTGAGGCAAGAGGATCCCTTAAGCCCAGGAGTTCAAGACCAGCCCGGGCAACATAGTAAAGTAAGACCTTGTCTCTAAAATAAAATATAAAAAATAGCCAGGTGTGGTGGTGTGTGCCTGTGGTCTCATCTACTTGGGAGGCAGAAGCAGGATGATCACTTGAGTCCAGGAATTTGAGGCTGCAGTGAACTGTGATTGCACGAATGCACTCCAGCCTGGGCAACAGAGCAAGACCCTGTCTCTCAAAAAATTTTTAATTAGCGGGGCATGGTGGTGTGCACCTGTAGACCTGTAGTCCCACCTACTCGGGAGGCTGGGTGGGAGGATTGCTTGAGCCCAGGAGGTCGAGGCTGCAGTGAGCCGAGATGGTGCCACTGCACTCCAGCCTGGGCAACAGAGCCAGAGCCTGTCTCAAAAAAATAAAAAAGTGTCCCCAGACACAGGGGCATGGGTGAGGCCTGTCAGGACTGCTGTGGTAGCTCATGGTGTCCTGTCCCTTCTTCCCACCAGGGAATGACCGTGGCTGTGGGCACACCCCCTGTCCATCTGGGCCTGCCTGTGGGAGCTGGACACTGCCCTCCCCAGCAGCCAGAAGTCCTGAAGGAACCGTGTGTGACCCTCAAGACCAGACCGGGCCTGCCACACCAACCCTTCAAAGACCGCAGCGGTCCAGGCAATCCAACGTGGGTCCCAAAGCTAGGTGAATAACCACGAGGAGCCCACGGTCAGCCCCTTCCCATCACATACGCAGGGAAATGGGTCACTTTCACTTTCAGAAAACAAAGCCTGGACCGCACTTAACTTGGAGGCAGATAACCTAATCAGAATTCACACACGCCTGGGACTTGGAGCCAAAAGCACCCGTGCTCTTACCTGCCTTTGTCCTATTTCCTGGCGGGAAATACAGAGGGCAGACAGGTCTTGGCCCGCAGCCACAGCCCCTTTACCCCAAGATGTGACTCGGTCAGCCACACGGCCTCACAGCCTCCTCCCAGGCCCTCAGCTGTGGCCACGGCAGCCAGGCAGGCCGACCCAAGGACAAAAGCCACGGGCAGTGTCCTGGGAGAGAACCCGGCCTTGACCACAGGCTGCTGGACACCTCCTGTGTCCCCCCCTTAATCCTCAGAGGCACGGTGCCCAATGCCTGGGCCATATTCCAGATTCCATCCGTTCTTTTTGTTTCATTTACAGACAGTCCCCGACGTCACGATTTTTGGACTTTACCATGGTATTAAAGCAACAGGCAGGCAACAGAAACTGGGCTTTGAGTCCCACACAACCTCCCTGGTTTTCAGCACGGTATTCAATAAATTACATGGATGCCCCACACTTTATTATCAAACAGGCTTCGTGTGAGATGATTTTGCCCACCTGTAGGCTCATGGGAGTGTCCTGAGCACGTTTGAGGGAGGCTGGGCTGAGCCGGGGTGCCTGGCAGGAAATCTGCAGGAAGTGCATTTTGGGTTTTTCAGCTTTTTTTTTTTTTTTTTTTTTTGAGATGAAGTTTCACTCTTGTCGCCCAGGCTGGAGTGCAATGGTGCGATCTCAGCTCACTGCAACCTCCACCTCCTGGGTTCAAGTGATTCTCCTGCCTCAGCCTCTCAGGTAGCTGGGATTACAGACATGCACCACCACCATGCCCGGCTGATTTTGTATTTTTAAAAGAGACGGGGTTTCACCATGTTGGCCAGGCTGGTCTTGAACTCCTGGCCTCAGGTGATCTGCCCCCACTTGGCCTCTGAAAGTGCTGGGAATTACAGGCGTGAGCCACGGCACCAGCCTGCATTTTGGACTTAGGATATTTTCAACTTACGATGGGTTTGCCGGGCTGCATCCCCACCGTAAGCTGAGGAGAACCTGTACTTTCTATTGGTGCCTGCTGATCTACGGAGTTTTTAAAGTACGATTTAAAAAAATAATAATCCTTATCAAGGATAAGTGATTGCGTTACAGGACATTTGAAAAACAGAGAAAAGGATTTAAAAATACCATCGACTTTCTCTTTTTGTGACAAGAAGACTCATTAGCATGTCAGCACACTCTCAGGCACACATTTCCCCGAGTGTTAGGAGTTCTGTTGCACAGTTTGTAACTGTATCTTTTTAAATTGGGCATCTTATTTTTATTGTCAAATTTAGACATTTATAAGGCTGCTCCTTCCTAAAAAAAGAAAATGAGTAACTTATTTACTTGAAGTCAGGATGACTGGGGATAATTTATGTACAAAATTGCATACCTCCAGCCCTGGCAACCGCTGTGCCGCCTTCTGTGCCTATAGCTCTGCCATTTCTAGAATGTCATATAAATGGAATCGCGCAGTCTGTAGCTTTTCTTGTCTGGCTTCTTCCACTTGGCATCATGCTTTTGAGACCCACCCATGTTGCAAGATCAGTAGTCTGTTCCTTTTTATTGTTGAATAGTATTCCCTTGCACGGATACATCAGATGTATTTGTCCATCCACCAACTGATGGACATTTGGCTTTTACCTTTGGAATACCGTGAAGAAAGCTGCTGTGGCTGTCCTGAAAAGATCTTTGCATGGAGACGTGTTTCCGTTTCTCCCGGGTAAATACAGGCGCATCTCGTTTCAGTGTGCCTCGCTTTCTCCTACTGCGTGGAATCGCTTTTGTTTGTTTGTTTGTTTGTTTGTTTGTTTGTTTTTGAGATGAGTTTCACTCTGTCACCCAGGCTGGAGTGCAGTGGGGCGATCTTGGCTCACTGCAACCTCCACCTCCCGGGTTCAAGCAATTCTCCTGCTTCAGCCTCCAGAGTAGCTGGGATTACAGGCACATGCCACCATGCCCTGCTAATTTTTTGTATTTTTTAGTAGAGACGGGGTTTCACTGTGTTAGCCAGGATGATCTCGATCTCCTGACCTCATGATCCACCCGCCTCAGCCTCCCAAAGTGCTGGGATTACAGGAATCGCATTTTTTACAAATTGAAGGTTGACGGCAGCTCCGTGTGGAGCAAGTCCACCGGCACCATCTCTCCAGCGGTGCGTGCTCACTTCCTGCCTCTGCACCACATGTTGGTCGTTCTCATAATATTTCAAACTTTTTCATTGTCATCGTCCGTTATGGTGATCTGTGATGAGTGACCTTTGATGTTAACTATTGTAATTGGTTTTTGGCAAAGCCACGAACTGCCCTTGTTTAAGACAGCAAACTGAATCAAGACATGTCGTGTGTGTACTGACTGCTCGCCGGCTGGCGTTCTTCCATTTCTGTCCCTCTCCTTGGGCCTCCCTATTCTCCAAGACTCAACAGTATTGAAATTAGGCCTACAATGGCCACTAAGTGCTCAAGTGAAAGGAAGAGTCTCATGCCTCTCACTTTATTTTTATTTTATTTATTTATTTTTGAGACACTCTGTCCCCCAGGCTGGAGGGCAGTGGCACGATCTTGGCTCATTGCAACCTCTACCTCCCGGGTTCAAGCGATTCTCCTGCCCCAGCCTCCCGAGTGGCTGAGATTGCAGGTGCCTGCCACCGTGCCCGGCTAATTTTTGTATGTTAGTAGAGACAGGGTTTCACCATGTTGGTCTCGAACTCCTGACGTCAAATGATCTGCCTGCCTCGGCCTCCCAAAGTGCCGGGATTACAAGTGTGAGCCAACGCTCCTGGCCGCCTCTCACTTTAAATCAAAAGTTAGAAATGATTAAGCTTCATGAGGAAGGCATGTCAAAAGCTGAGATAAGCCAAAAGCTAGGCCTCTTGCACCAAAGGGATAGCCAAGTTGTGAACACAAAGGAAAAGTTTTTGAAGAAAATTTAAAGTGCTGCTCTAATGAACACACAAAAGAAAGGGAAGCAGCCTAATTGCGCGTCTGGAGAAAGTTCAGGTGGTATGGACAGAAGATCAAACCTTCCGGCCGGGCGCGGTGGCTCACGCCTGTAATCCCAGCACTTTGGAAGGCCCAGGCAGGCGGATCACGAGGTCAGGAGATCAAGACCATCCTGGCTAACACGGTGAAACCCCGTCTCTACTAAAAATACAAAAAGTTATCCAGGCATGGCGGCAGGTGCTGAGGCAGGAGAATCACTTGAACCCAGGAGGCGGAGGTTGCAGTGAGCCGAGATCGCGCCACTGCACTCCAGCCTGGGCAACAGAGCGAGACTCTGTCTCAAAAAAGAGAATGCACCTGGTGGGCATGCTAGCTCAAGTAATCTCAGCACTTTGGGAGGGCAAGGTGAGAGAATTGCTTGAGGCCAGGAGTTCTAGACCAGCCTGGGCAACATAGCAAGAGCCTGTCTCTAAAACCGAAAAAAGGAAAGAAAGAAAATGTACCTGGTCACCCAAGAGTTTTGATGGAGCTGGAGCTGTGCAAGATGAATGTTGTTTCCACACCTGTAACACAGCATTTATTCTGCAACCCATGGGTTGAGGAGTAATTTCAACTTTCAAGTCTTACTATTGCAGTAATACAGTCTGTAAAGCTATAGCTGTCATAGATAGTGATTACTCTGATGGATCTGAGCAAAGTAAGTTGAAAACCTTCTGGAACAGACTCACCATTCTAGATAACGTTAAGGATATTCGTGATTCATGAGAGGAGGTCAAAATATTACTCTTGGTTTTTTTGAGGTGGAGTCTTGCTCTGTTGCCCGGGCTGGAGTGCTATGGTACGATCTTGGCTCACTGCAGCCTCTGCCTCCCGGATTCCAGTAATTCTCTTGCCTCAGACTTCTGAGTAGCTAGGATTACAGGTCCTTACCACCACACCTGGCTAATTTTTTATATTTTTAGTAGAGATGGGGTTTCAACCGTGTTGGCCAGGCTGGTCTTGAACTCCTAACCTCAAGTGATATGCTCACCTCAGCCTCCCAAAGTGCTGGGATTACAGGCATGAGCCACCTCAGCCTCCCAAAGTGCTGGGATTACAGGCATGAGCCACCGTGCCTGGCCCAAAATATTACTTTTTTTTTTTTTTTTTTTGAGGTGGAGCTTCTCTTTTGTCGCCCAGGCTGGAGTGCAGTGGCACGATCTCAGCTCACTGAAAACTCCACCTCCCAGGTTCAAGCAATTCTCCTGCCTTAGTCTCCCAAGTGGCTAAGATTAGAGGCACCTGCCACTACGCCCAACTAATTTTATTTTTTTAAGGTTGGAATTGCTTTTATTGGGGACAGATGTGCAAGTCCCCGCTCATGGTCAGGTTAGTGTTCTGCCCTTGCAGAGGTGCCAGCAGCCTGACACCTCCATCTGCCGCCCGCCCCGGGTTAGTGGAACATGCAAAGCTCAGAGGGTGGAGGCAGGGGTGGTCGCTGCTGAAGCCAGACGTCCAGCTAATTTTTGTATTTTTAGTAGAGACGGGTTTTCACCATGTTAGCTAGGCTGGTCTCGAACTCCTGACCTCAGGTGATCTGCCTGCCTCGGCCTCCCAAAGTGCTGAGATTACAGGCCTGAGCCACTGCGCCCGGCCCCAAAATATCACCTTTAATGGCAAAACTGCAATTACTTTTGCACCAACCTAATATCAACATTAACAGAAGTTGATTGTAACGCCTGTGGATGGCTTTGAGGGCTCAGGACTTCAGCGCAGAAAGTCACTCCCGATGTGGTGGAAACAAGAACTAGAATGAGAAGTGGAGCTGAGATGGGATGGAATTGCTGTGTTCATATGATCAAACTTTAATGGATGAGGAGTTGCTTCTTACGGATGAGCGTTTTCTTGAGGTGGAATCTGCTCCTGTGAAGATGCCATGCGCATTGTTGAAATTAACAAAGAATTTAGAATATTCCATAAACTTGGTTGATGAGGCAGCAGCAGGGTTTGAGAGGACTGACTCCAATTTTGCAAGAAGGTCTTGCGTGGGTAAAATCCTATCAAACAGCATCACATACTACAGAGAAATCTTTCATAAAAGAAGAGTCGATCCATGTGGCAATGGATGTGGCAGGAAGAGTCAATCCATTGTCTTATTTTAAGATTGCCGTCCAGGTGGGGTGACTCACACCTGTAATCCCAACACTTTGGGAGGCCAAGGCAGGCAGATGACCTGAGCTCAGGAGTTTGAGACCAGCCTGGGCAACATGGTGAGACCTCATTTCTACAAAAAATACAAAAATTAGCCAGGTGTGGTGGTGTGCACTTGTAGTCCCAGGTACTCGAGAGGCTGAGGGAGGTGGTGGCTTGAGCCTAGGAGGCTGAATTTGCAATAAGCCAAGATCACACCACTGCACTCCGGCCTGGGTGACAGAGCCAGAGTCAGAGCCTGTCTCAAAAAAAAAAAAAAAAAATTGCCACAGCCACCCCAGCCTTCAGCAACCACCACCCTCATCAGTCAGCAGCCAGCAACATCAATGCAAGACCCTCTACCAGCATACTTTATCAAGTATGACTTGATAAACACTTAGGTGATTGTTAGCATTTTTTAGCAATAAAGTTTGTTTTTTTTTTCTTTTTTAAAATAGAGTCTCATTCCATTACCCAGGCTGGAGTGCAGTGGTGTGATCTCAGCTCATTGCAACCTCTGCCTCTTGGGTTCAAGGGATTCTCCTATCTCAGCCTCCTCAGTAGCTGGGATTACAGGTGCCCACCACGACACCTGGTATTTTTAGTAGAAATAGGGTTTCACCATGTTGGCCAGGCTGGTCTCGAATTTCTGACCTCAGGTAATCTGCCTGCCTCAGCCTCTCTAAGTGCTGGGATTACAGGTGTGGACCACCACGCCCAGCCTAAAGTAAGTACATTCTTTAGACATGATGCTATTGCACGCTTGATAGACTACAGTAAAGTATGCACCTTCTGTATGCACTGGGGAACCAAAAAAGATTGTGTGACTTGCTTTACTGTGATACTTGCTTAATTGCGGTGGCCTGCAACTGAACCTGCAGTATCTCCAAGGTTCCGGCTCAACATACATTTTACTTTATAACAAATGCTTGCCGGCCGTGGTGGCTCACACCTGTAATCCCAGCACTTTGGGAGGCTGAGGCGGATCACTTGAGCTCAAGAGTTTGAGACCAGCCTGGGCAGCATGGCAAAACCCCATCTCTACCCAAAAATACCAAAAATTAGCTGGGTATGGTGGTGCATGCCTGTAATCCCAGCTACTTGGGTGGCTGAGGCAGGAGAATCCCTTGAGCCTGGTAGGTGGAGGTTGCAGTGAGCCGAGATTGCGCCATTGCACTCCAGCCTGGGTGACAGAGCGAGACTCCGTCTCAAAAATAAACAATAAAACAGCTGCTGCGGTGTTTTCCCAAGTGACTGGTTCCAATTTGCATTTTCTCCAGCAATTTATGAGAGTCCCAGTTGTTCCACATCCTCGCCAACATTTGGTATTATCAGTCATCTAATTTTAGCCATCAAATATAGCCATTAGCAAATGTGTGGTGCATCGCCTTGCGGTCTGAGCCTGCGTGTCCCTAATGACTAGCGATGGTGAGCATCTCTTCCCCGGCTTATTCGCTATTCCTGTGCCTTCTCTGGTGAAGCAACTTCTGCTCATTTTTCCGCTGAGTGGCTTATCATTGAGTTGTAAGAGTTCTTCATATCTTCTGGAGACATCTTTTATCAGACGTGTGCTTTGAAAATATTTTTGTCCCAGTCTGTGGCTTTGTCTTTTTTACCTCTTTACAGTGTCTTTTGAAGAGCAAAAGTTTTAAATTTTTGTGAAGTCCAACTTATTAAATATTTTCTTTCCTGATTCATGCTTTTTATGTCTTCTCTAAGAAATCTCTAAGGGTCAGGCCGGGCACAGTGTGGCTCATGCCTCTAATCCCAGCACTTTGGGAGGCCAAGGTGGGCGGATCACGAGGTCAGGAGATTGAGACCATCCTGGCTAACACGGTGAAACCCCATCTCTACTAAAAATACAAAAAATTAGCCGGGCGTGGTGGCGGGCGCCTGTAGTCCCAGCTACTTGGGAGGGTGAGGCAGGAGAATGGCATGAACCTGGGAGGCGGAGCTTGCAGGGAGCCAAGATCACGCCACTGCACTCCAGCCTGGGCAACAGAGCGAGACTCTGTCTCAAAAAAAAAAAAAAAAAAAGGAAAGAAAAAGAAATGTCTAAGGGTCACGAAGATTTTCTCCCAAGTTTTCCACTAAAGTTTTCCAGGTCTCGCTTTTAGGCATCTGGTCCATTTCAAGTTCACGTTTGTTGTGGTATGAGCGGGGTCCAGGCTCAGGTTTTGTGTGTCTCTCTCTAGTTGTCCCAGCACCACTTGTTGAAAAGACTGTCCTTTCCGTATTGAAATCCTGTGACACCTTTGTCAAAGATCAATGTATTGTGTGTGTGTGTCTGTTTCCAGACTCTCTATTCTGTTCCGTTGATCTTTTTGTCATTCTTTCACCAATACCACATTGTCTTTCTAACTAGAGCTTTATGGAAAATCTTGAAATCAGATAGTCTGAGTCTTTGATGTTGTTTTACAAAATTATTTTGGTTACTCTAGGTCCTTTAGGTTTCCATTTAAATTTTAAAACTTGCTTGTCAATTTCTGGGGAAAAAATGCCTTCTGGGATGTAACTGAAATTACATTGAATCCATAGATCAGTTTGAAGAGAATTGAGGCCTTAATAATATTAAATCTTCTGCTTCATGGACATGGCAAATCTCTCCAGTATCAGTATCTTTTTTTTTTTTTTTTTTTGAGTCAGAGTCTTGCTCTATCACCTGGGCTGGAGTGCAGCGGAACAATCTCAGCTTACTGCAACATCCGCCTCCTGGGTTCAAGTGATTCTCATGCCTCAGTGTACCAAGTAGCTGTGAACACAGCCACACACCACCACGCCCGGCTAATTTTTTTTGTATTTTTAGTAGAGATGGGGTTTTGTCATGTGGGCCAGGCTTCCTTTCTCTATTGATAGTGTCTTATCCTTTGAATAAGTTTTTATTCAAATAGTCAGAAAGTACTTTCTTCTTGGACTAGAATAATACCTTCCATATTTTTCTCACATCTCTCCCCAGTCTTTCAATTCTCTTTCCCAAGCAACCTGTTACTGTTTCATAAAGGTCTTTCCAGATAGATTTCGTTCATACATATGCATTATTCTCGGGTGTTTATCTCTCCACTTAAAAATCACCCGCGGCCGCTTAGTGTGTCCCGCTCTGCAGCTTGGTGTTTCTTGTGCTGTGTCTTAGAGTTATTCCATGTCAGAACACATAGAAATCACCGTTGTTCTTTGCAGTTCTCTTCACACTGTGTTCTAAATGATGCCTGTGCCATAATTTAATCATCCTCATCGATCCATAATGAGGCCCTTTCCTGTTTTTTGGCTTTTTCTGATCTCATCAGTGGATCAATAAATATCCACACACATTAAAAATAGATACTGGATCACCAGGCACGGTGGCTCATGCCTGTAATCCCATCACTTTGGGAAGCTGAGGCAGGTGGATCACTTGAGGTCAGGAGTTCGAGACCAGCCTGGCCAACAGGGCGAAACCCTGTCTCTACTAAAAATACAAAAAAAAAAAAAAATAGGCAGGCATGGTGGCACACGCCTGTGGTCCCAGCTACTCAGGCAGCTGAGGCATGAGAATCGCTTGAACCCAGGAGGTTGCAGTCAGCCGAGATCGCGCCACTGTACTCCAGCCTGAGTGGCAGAGCGAGACTCTGTCTCAAAAAAAAAAATACTGGATGGCCAGGCGCAGTGGCCCACACCTGTAATTCCAACACTTTGGGAGGCCGAGGCAGGTGGATCACTTGAGGTCAGGAGTTCAAGACCAGCCTGGCCAACATGGTGAAACCCCATCTCTACAAAAATACAAAAATTAGCTGGGCATGGTGGCACACACCTGTAATCCCAGCTACTTGAGTGGCTTGAGGCTGCAGTGAGCTGAGATCATGCCATTGCACTCTAGCCTGGGTAACAGAGTGAGAGACTGTCTCAAAAAAAAAAAAAGAAAGAAAGGAATGAAAGGAATGTTTAAAGTACCGCAGAACATCTCAGAATAATAGGAAAACATGCCTCACACACACAAAATTCAAATCCTCATGCTGAGGCGTAAGAATGACTTGAACCCAGGAGGCAGAGGTTGCAGTGAGGCAAGATCGTGCCTCTGCACTCCAACAAATACAGGATTTGAATCTGATTATTTCATTTGAATCAGTATTTTAGATCTGATTATCCGATATCTGTGTTTTAGAGCTTGACGTTAATTACAGGTATCTCATCGCAGCATGCCGAGGGGAAAGACAATAGAATTTGAAGTGGGCCCACTGGTGTTCCCTCAGCCACGCTGTTTCCTGCAGACCTTGGGCTAGTGATTGAAATGCTCTGAGTCTCAATGGCCACATCTGTAAAGCTGGACTATTTCCTTCCTAGGATTATTGTCATGGTTAAGGAAGGTGGGCAGATGAGAACCCCTAGCCCAACGTCTGACCCATGCGTCACTTTCCTTCTCCCCATAATCACAGTACAAAAGAGTTGTCAACTTGGGCTTTCAATAGATAATAGTTCTCTTGATCTATTTGAAAATAATAGTCAAGATTTGGCTATTGGCTGCAAAAATACAGTGAGGGAGAAGGAACAAGGCCCAGTGTTCAATAGCATGTCACAGTGACTACAGTTCACGGTAAGTTAGTGTATATTTCTGAATAGCTAGAGGAAAAGATTTGGAATGTTCTCAACACGAAGGAAGGATCATGTGTGAGGTGATAGATGGCCGGTTCCCCTGATTTGATCATGACATGCTGTATGCTTGTGTCAAAATATCGCATGTACCTCTCAAATATGTGCCAATCTATCCATAAAAATTTTTTAAAGATTTGGCTGCTATTAAAAGAGTTGGTTTCCTGCTGGGTGCAGCGGCTCACACCTGTAATCCCAGCACTTTGGGAGGCCAAGGCAGGCACATTGCTTGAGCTCAGGAGTTGGAGACCAGCCTGGGCAACACGGTGAAACCCCATCTCTACAAATAGAGTTTAAAAATTAGCCGGGCATGGTGGCGCACACCTGTAATCCCAGCCACTCAAGAGGTTGAGGCATGAGACTCGCTTGAACCCGGCAGGCGGAGGTTGCAGTGAACCGAGATCGCACCACTGTATTTCAGCCTGGGTTACAGAGTGAGACTCTGTCTCAAAAAATAAATAAATAAATAAATAAATAAGAGTTGGCTTCCTAATTTATTTCTCTGTGCATTGAGTTCGCCTTAGTGAGCTCCCTCGTGTGGGGCGCAGCTCTGTGCACTGGCTCTCTGATGTCTCACACGTAACTGGCTCTCCCCGCTGCATTTCTACAGAGGATGCCAGCATCAAGCCAAATCCACCGACGGCGAGATTGAGGCCTATAAGAAATCCATCATGAAGGAGGAAGAAAAGAACGAGAAGCTGGCGAGCATCCTGAACCGGACAGAGACGGAAGCCACACTGCTGCAGAAGCTCACCACCCAGTGCCTGACCAAGCAGGTGGCCCTGCAGAGCCAGTTCAATACCTACAGGCTCACCCTGCAGGACACAGAGGATGCCCTCAGCCAGGACCAGCTGGTGAGGCCGGGCCCGCCCCACAGGTCACACCTGGCGCACGGTGGTGCCTCTTCAGGCACGTGCACCCTGTGGCTCCTTGTCTCCAGGAACAAATGATACTCACGGAGGAGTTGCAGGCCATCCGCCAAGCCATCCAGGGCGAGCTGGAGCTCAGGAGGAAGACGGATGCTGCCATCCGGGAGAAGCTGCAGGAGCACATGACCTCCAACAAGACCACCAAATACTTCAACCAGCTCATCCTGAGGCTGCAGAAGGAGAAGACCAACATGGTAGGCCCCTGCCCCAGGGAGGGGCTGTGCGAAGCCCCCTGCAGCCTGGGCATATGAGGGCAAGCCGTCCTGGAGGCGGAGAGGGCGGAGTCAGTGTGAGCAGAGGGCCCTCCTGTGCTCACTCCTTTCCATGGTGTTCAGGTTGTAAGGGTGATACATTTTTACTGTAGAAAACCTAGAAATAGGCCAGGTGTGGTGGCTCATGCCTGTAATCCCAGCACTTTGTGAAGCCAAGGCAGGTGGATCACCTGAGGTCAGGAGTTTGAGACCAGCCTGGCCAACATGGAGAAACCCTGTCTCTGCTAAAAATACAAAAAATTAGCCAGGCGTGGTGGTGTGCGCCTATAATCCCAGCTACTCGGGAGGCTGAGGCAGGAGAATTGCTTGAACCTGGGAGGCAGAGGTTGCAGTGAGCTGAGATCGTGCCACTGCACTCCAGCCTGGGTGACAGAGCAAGACTCCATCTCAAAAAAAGAAAACTTAGAAATACAGAAAGGCATAAAGAAGAAAATGAGACAGCTCTAGGCCCACCATCCAGAGGCAACTTTTTTTTAAATTTGGTAAACTTCCTTCTGGAAATTTTTAATACAGAAACACATTTGCACCCACCCACAAACACGTCATTCTCACACACACACATTCGCACACACGAACACACATGCAATTGCACATGCCCCCATGCACACACAAGAAAACACAAACTCATAAAAACACACACAAACTCCTACACACACACACTCAAACTCCTACACACACATACACTCAAACTCCTACACACACACAAACTCCTACACACACACACATACACTCAAACTCCTACACACACACACTCAAACTCCACACACACACTCAAACTCCTACACCCACACACAAACATACAAACTGCTGCACACATACACTCAAACTCCTACACACACACACACTCAAACTCCTACACACACAAACATACACTCAAACTCCTACACACATACTCAAACTCCTACACACACACACACTCAAACTCCTACACACACACTCAAACTCCTACAAACACACACATACACTCAAACTCCTACACACACTCAAACTCCTACAAACACAAACTCCTACACACACACTCAAACTCCTACACACACATACACTCAAACTCCTACAAACACACAAACTCCTACAAACACACACTCAAACTCCTACACACACAAACGCCTACAAACACAAACACACTCAAACTCCTACAAACACACACACACAAGCACACACCTTACGCAACACTGGACTCAGGCCCATTTTCTTTTTCTTATGTATTTATGTATTTTATTTTTTGACACAGGGTCTCGCTCTGTCGCCCAGGCTGTGGCACAATCACAGCTCACTGCAGTCTTGAATCTCCCGGGCTCAAGTGGCCCTGCCACCTTGGCCTCCCAAAGCCCTGGGATTCTGGGCCTGAGCCACTGTGCCCAGCCCCCTGGTCTGTCTGCATCCACTTGTGATTAATATCACTGAACTATGACACAGAGAGAACAGGAGCCAATGAATCTTTGTTACTTGTATAGTTTTTCATTTTGTTGTATTGACCATATTCAACATAACATTTCCTCATGCCACCAAATATTCTTCAAAAACCTAAATTTTCATTTCTGTATAACATCTTATCCTGCAAATGTACATATTTTGTTTACTAAGTCTCTTGTTAGGCACTTTATGCTGTTTCTAGTTTTTATTTTATCTTATTTTATTTTGTTGTTATTTATTGATTTTTTTGAGATGGAGTTTCGCTCTTGTCGCCCAGGCTGGAGTGCAGTGGTGCCATCTTGGCTTACGGCAACCTCTGCCTCCTGGGTTCAAGCAGTTCTCCTGCTCAGCCTCCCGAGTAGCTGGGATTACAGGCGTGCGCCACCATGCCTGGCTAGTTTTTGTATTTTTAGTGGAGATGGGGTTTCACCATGTTGGCAAGGCTGGCCTCGAACTCCTGACCTTGTGATCCACCCAAAGTGCTGGGATTACAGGCGTGAGCCACCGCATGGCCAGCTGCCAGCCAAAGGCTGATTTCCCTGGGGGGACCTGGAGTGTGACTTCGACGTCCATGGCAGGGAACCCCCAATTGTGAGCTCATGTTCGCATCCCCTGGGATCTTGCTTTATCCTTTATCACCTGTGGTGGGGGTGGAGGGGACTTGTGTCCTTAGAAAAAACAATTCCTTACTTGAATTGTTTTTTCTTTGCCTCTTCCCGAGGGGTGACCGCCTCCCCAACACCCCGCCTCAAGCAGGCCCCTTTGGAGGACCCCCAGAGGCTACCACAGGCTCCACCATTTCCAGAGCACATCCTAGCAGTGGGGCCTGCCCAACAGTCCCCATTTTAGTCTCAGAGGAGGGTGACAGATTCCCGATGCCAAGCTCTGCCGGTTTTGCCCTCCTGAGGGGTGGGAAAGGAGCTGGCCAGGCAGAGCTGAAGGGCGTGGTGGGTGTGAAGGAGCCCATCCAGCCGTGCTGCTACCAGCCAAGTCCAGTTCCCAATCCCCAGGCCCCCGGGCCCCCGCCGAGCCCCTGTCTGGGCAGCCCGATAGGTCATACGTGTTTTGCTGCCAGTTTCCAGAAGAGGGCAGCAAAGAGTCTTGGACCAACACATTCGTCTATTACGACAATTTTCCAACCGATGCCAGTCCAGCTGCTGAAAAGAGTACCCCCGACACGATGTTTGAACTGCTCAAAGCCTCATGGGCTGATAGAAGGTGGGGTGGGGAGGCATATCTGGGAGGAGGAGCAAAGTGTGGATGGGCGGGACCACCCATCCGGAGCTGGGGTCAACCACGGGGTCCAGGCAGTTAATCCAGGGATGGTGTAGATGCCTAGGGGGAGCCAGGGTGGGCTCCACAGAGACCACAAACAGCCAGGAGTGGAGCGGGGGTGCAGGCCCGGCTGTGACGGGGAGGGACTGAAGGGGACTTGGAGCCATAGCCCCTGCAGGGCAGTTGGGGAGGGGGGAGGCAGGGAGTCCTTGGGGGGCCCAGATCTCAGGGTGAACTTGGCAGAGGAGGAGGCTGCGAGCTGACATTGCCACACAACTCCAGATGCCGGAAGCTTCCACTCCAGGTGGGCAGGGTCTGGGTTCCACCACCTGGGGACATTGGGTCTCCTGGGAAGCCGCCCGTGGTGGCCAGTGAGAGACATGGAGCCCACAGGCGTGGCGGGAGGAGAAGCTCAGATGGCCCTGAGGAGGCTGGGGTAGGCAGGAGCCACAGTCGTGAGAGAGCCAAGGCCTTGTGTGGCAGGAGCCGACGGGCAGGGGTGCTCAGGGCAGACACAGGGCCCGAGGCCACCTGTTAGAACCATGCCCTGGGGAAGAGGACCCTGTCCTGGTGGTGACAGCATCTCCCTGTTCCCAGAGCAGCTTTGGCCACACCATTGCAGCTGTGACTGCCACTGCCTCACTCCTGATTATCACAAACGTCCTCTCGATAAACCCCCCGTTGCCAGAAGGGATCCAAAGTCTGTCTAATGCCTCCAAAGAGCCCACAGAGGAGGCCAGCACTGGCGGCTCAGACCTGCCGGACAGCAGGAGGGGTCAGAACGCATGGAGGAACCAGTGTCTAACAATTGCTTCTTGCTTCATAAACTATGCTGCAAATGTGATAGAGTACAGCACAGCCATTACAGCTTACAGAGCACAGGAACATAAGACCCGACTTACCAGATTAAAAAGCAGGTTAGCACCCAGTGTGTAGGGTGTGATCCTATTTTTATTTTGGAGAATTATATAGAAAAGACTGGGAGGAAAAATGGATTCAGATGGGAATGGTAGCTAACTTGTGTCAGAATTGCAGGCAATTGAATGTGTTCTCTGTCCTGGCCTGTATTTTCACATTTCCTCACAATGTGTGTGCTACGATTTAAGAAGTGTGTTAGTCTGATCTCACACTGCTGTAGGAAATACCTAAGACTGGATAACTGATAAAGGAAAGAGGTTTAATTGACTGACAGTTCTGCATGGCTGGGGAGGCCTCAGGAAACTTACAATCATGGCAAAAGGCGAAACAGGCACCTCCTTCACAAGGCAGCAGGAGAGAGAGTGTGTGTGAAGCAGGAACCGTCAAACACACAAAACCATCAGATCTCATGAGAACTCACTATCATGAGAACAGCATGGGGGTAGCGGCCCCCATGGTCCAGTCACCTCCCACAGGGGCCCTCCCTTGACATGTGGGATTATGGGGACACAATTCAAGATGAGATGTGAGTGGGGACACAGCCAAACCACATCAATAAGAAAAGCTAATACCATGATCTCTCTTTTCTGTAAAAAGCCAACATCTGGGTTCCAACAAGTAGGTCCCTTGCTGGGTCCTGGAGACAGTGGGAAATCCAGCCTCCTGCACTCGTGACTGTGCGTTTGGAATATCTCCAGAGGAACATCCCGACCGTCAGGGAACGGTGGATCAGCAAACTCGTCCCGGGCCTTGGGTGGGGGCAATATTCACAGGTATTTCTTTTCATCAATTCAGATGACACATCTTTCCAAAATCAACGGTGACATTGCCCAGACCACCCTGGACATCACACACACCAGCAGCAGGCTGGACGCACACCAGAAGACCCTGGTGGAGCTGGACCAGGACGTGAAGAAAGTCAACGAGCTCATCACCAACAGCCAGAGCGAGATCTCCCGGCGCACGATCCTGATCGAGAGGAAGCAAGGGCTCATCAACTTCCTCAACAAGCAGCTGGAGCGGATGGTCTCCGAGCTGGGGGTGAGGTCCCAGGCAGGGAGACGTGGTCCCCGGCTGACTGTGGTGCCTGGTGGGGCAGAGCCCCCTCAGATCCCCCACGGTCAGACATGAACTCCTGGAAGGCACAGAACTGCCTCTTTCCCTACCTGCTTTACAGACAAAATGGCACGTGTGCCAAGCGCTCTAAGTCACATTTTTCTGCACAAGGCCAGAGAGTATTCCGGCTTTGTGGCCAGTTGGTCTCTCTGGCAGTGACACGGCTCTGCCTCCATAGCGAGAAGGAGCATAGGTAAAACGTAAAGGAATGGGCACGGCTGTGTCCAATCAGATGTTATTCAAGGCCACTGAAGTCTGAATTCCAAATAATTTTCACCCAGCACGAAATATTCTGCTGCTCTAAGAAAAGTGGCCTAATGCGTTTGAGGCCTGATGCCATATACGTCATCCAGGTCCCTGTACTCTCAAAGCCCCTTTGGGTTCCAGAGGCCCCACCCACCCTGCCAGCGCACCCACCATGGGGAAGCTAGAGGGGGCTCCAGAGCCCCTTAGCCATATTTCCTCCAGCGGGGTCTGTGGCTTGCGGCCCTGCTGAGAGCTAACTTGAGCCCCTCGGCCTTCGTCCAGTTTCATGACCTCAGGGTTCCAGGCCCTCTGCAGCCCACTCACAAAGACCTTTGAGCCCAAGAAGGCTAATTTTGCTTTTTTTTTTTTTTTTTTTTTCTGAGACGGAGTCTTGCTCTATTGCCCAGGCTGGAGTGCAGTGGTGCCATCTTGCTCACTGCACATCTGCCTCCTGAGTTCAAGCGATTCTCCTGCCTCAGCCTTCCAAGTAGCTGGGACCACAGGTGTGCACCAGCACACCTGGCTAATTTTTGTATTTTGGGTAGAGACGGGGTTTCACCCTGTTGGCCAGGCTGGTCTTGAACTCCTGACCTCGGGTGATCCACCCGCCTCAGCCTCCCAAAGTGCTGGAATTACAGGCGTGAGTCACTGCGCCCAGCCCTAATTTTGCTTTTTGATGAATATCCGGTCTAGGGGGAAGAAGTGGGGCCCCTGGAGCTTGAAATCAAAAGGCTGAGCAAGCTGATCGACGAGCACGATGGCAAGGCGGTCCAGGCCCAGGTGACCTGGCTGCGCCTGCAGCAGGAGATGGTCAAGGTGACACAGGAGCAGGAGGAGCAGCTGGCCTCCCTGGACGCATCCAAGAAGGAGCTCCACATCATGGAGCAGAAGAAACTACGAGTAGAAAGTAAGAGCCGCCGTGCCCGGCCCTGCAGTGATGCTGAGACGAGCTCTGGGACGTGGGCACCTCCCAGGGGAGGGGCACTCAGTGGGGCACGTCGCTGGATTTGCACGCAGCCTTAAAAGCAAATAACAAACGCGCATGCTCCCTGTATTTTGTAAATGTGAACCACTGCCTGCCCAGCTGCCCAGTTCGCAGTCACAGCGGGAGGGTTGAGAAATGTCACGAAATGGCTCCAAGCTCACGGACTTCAGAGCTCTCCTTGAGAGAGGAGCATGGAAGGTTATCATCCCCGCCAAGCCAGGGCACTCAGGTGGAAACACTGGCACGGGAAAAGCCAGGGTCCTGCCAGGCAGGCTCCTGGTGCTGTCCCCACATCACCTCCAGTTGGGCTTAGAAAACCATTCCACCGGGGCTCCCCAACCCTTCTGAGGCCCAAGGGGCTGCCAAAGCACCAGGGTGCCTGGAATGATGGAGGCGGGCATCCTTCCTGGACCACTCTCCACCCACATGTCCACCTGCCGAGACATCCCGGGTCCTGCCCGGTCTTGGGTCGGGGATCCATGCTGGTCAGGCCTGCAGCAGAGCCCCCATGGGAAATGCTGCCCAGACACATCATGTGCCCTTCTCGGAGGTCCTGCTGCCTCTCGCCCTGCCCTTCTTGGGTTGCCCAAACCCGTCTGTTGGTGAGTAGCAAGTCCCAAAAGACCCTATGGAGCTGTCAGCTGAGTATCGGTGTCCCAAGGCAAGAGCTGCCGAAATACCATGCTGTGAGATGGGGAGGATCACCCATGGAGAGGGCAGAGAGAGGGGCTCACATGCCCATGTCCTGGGGTAGTCAGGGCACACCATGGGGACAGCAGGAGGAGCTGGAGAAGCCCTGTGAGGAGTGGCCAGCGGATGAACCAGCTGTGGCCTCTTGTGCCCTCCACCCATCTTAACATCAAGAAGAGCTGTTGTTTTCTGCCCCTACCCCTGAGCTTGGCTGGGGCAGGGCAGGGGTCTAAGGGCCTCCCTCTCCTGGAGACTCACAGTGTCTGAGCATCAACCAGGTCCCGGTGCTCCACAGATTTGCAAGTGTCTGGGGGAGGGAGCCTGGCCCTCCCACACGCCCTGCCCACACCTGCTGGCTGTCCCCACAGGCAGGTCCTCTCAGTTCCGTTGGAGGACCAGGCTTTGGGAGCTTAGCAGCCAAAAAGAGACCCCCTGTCCTCTCCTCTCCTCTGTCCTGGCAGGGACGAGATTCAGGCAGGAGCGCCAGGAACGACAAGAGGGAGGGGATGAAGGGAGCTACAGGGAGAGACAAAACCTGGCTCACCTCTCGGACACTGCTGCCTGCGGGCGAGGACCCGTACCCTCCTGGGGTCTCTCCCTGAGTCTCTGTTTTCTGCCATAGGCAAGATTGAGCAGGAGAAGAAGGAGCAGAAGGAGATCGAGCACCACATGAAGGACCTGGACAACGACCTGAAGAAGCTCAACATGTTGATGAATAAAAACCGGTGCAGCTCGGAGGAGCTGGAGCAGAACAACCGGGTGACAGAGAATGAGTTCGTGCGCTCGCTGAAGGTCCGGCCGTGTCCACGCAGTCCCGGGGCTCAGGACGATGGAGGGCGGGGGTACGGTCCTTGCGGTGGGCGTTCTGCACCAGGATGTAATTTCCACACCCGTTCAAGATGCTTGTAGGGGTATTAGAAATCCAGCCTGCAGCCCTGCCCTCGGTGCCGGGATAGAGGGCACCAGCCCCGGCATCCACAATCCCATGGCCCTCCCCACAGCTGTCCCGCCCCCTCCCCCATGCAGGCCTCTGAGAGGGAGACCATCAAGATGCAGGACAAGCTGAACCAGCTCAGCGAGGAGAAGGCGACCCTCCTGAATCAACTGGTGGAAGCAGAGTGAGTCCCAGTCTCCAGCCACACGTGGGTCATGAAGGTCACTGCACCTACAGGCCTCTGTCCGTTGAAGACCATGTAGGAGGCCAGGTGTGGCAGCTCACACCCATATCCCAGTGCTTTGGTCATTTTTTGTTGTTGTTTTGTTTTTTGTTTTGTTTTGTTTTGTTTTTAGACAGTCTTGCTCTATCCCACAGGCTGGAGTGCAGCCGTGCGATCTCAGCTCACTGCAACCTCTGCCTCCCAGCTTCAAGTGATTTTCCTGCCTCAACCTCCTGAGTAGCTGGGATTACAGGTGCCCGCCACCATGCCTCACTAATTTTTGTATTTTTAGTAGAGATGGGGTTTCACCCTGTTGGCCAGGCTGGTCTTGAACTCCTGATCTCAGGTGATCTGCCCACCTCAGCCTCCCAAAGCGCTGGGATTACATTCATGAGCCACCGTGCCCAGCAATCCCAGTGCTTTGGGATGCCAAGGCAGGAGGCTCCTTTGGGGCCAGGAGTTCAAGACAAGACGGGGCAACACAGTGAGACCCCATATCTACAAAAATGTTTTAAATTGGCCAGGCATGGTGGTGCATGCCGGTAGTCCCAGCTACTCGGGAGGCTGAGGTGGGAGGATCGCTTGAGCCCAGGAGGTCAAGGCTGCAGTGAGCTAGGATTGCACCACTGCACTCCAGCCTGGGCGACAGAGCGAGACCCTGTCTCTAAAAGAAGAAAAAGACCACCTGGGCATGGGTCTGGAACCCACCCTAGTGGATCCCAGATTCCCCACAGAGTCTGTCTACCCCCCTTGGTGGCAGTTCTTGAGCCAAACGAGTTACTGCTAGAAATTGAAGGGTTTCCTTTGTGATAAAGTTTTTAAGTATCCATTATTTTATGGTGTCTGATTATTAAAGTAACACACACCCAGCTCTAAACATTTTAAACTATACAATGCGTGCAAAGTACCCAGGGAAAATTGCATATAATTCCAACGCCCTTCACTTCCCAGAAAACCAATGTGTAGCTATATTCCTTTCTTGTTTTGCTCTGTTTTTTACACAAATGGGATTGTTTCAGAAGTTCCCCCTTGAAGCACTTTAGTATTTTCATGGCCATCTTTCCGTGTCACACACGTGGGCCCATATCTCCCTGTGGAAAGGGTGCGGAGCAGGCGTGGTGTGGAGGCACCGTCCTTTCTTCAGCGTGCTCCGGAAGGGATGAATAGCGCAGGGATCGCCTGTTCCTTGCGGTTTGATAGAATCTAGGCAAAAAATTATCTGGGACCAATGCTTTGGGGGGCTTGTATCTTTGGTGACATTTAAATAGCTTTTAGACTATTGGTGTATTCAGGCTTTTTACTTTTTCTTAAGTCAGCTTCTATCAATTATACTGACTTTCTCAGCTCCTACAGTTATATATCCCTGTTCTCTCTCTCTCTGTCTCTCTGTTTCTTCCCCACCCCCATCTCCCTCCCTCCCCCTGTATGCCAGAGGTTGGCAAACGTTTGCATAAGGAGCCCAGTAGTGAACACTTCAGGCTTTGAGAGCCTCACGCTTTCTGTCGCAGCTGCTTGGCTCTGCCATTGCAGCTTGAGAGCCTTGTAAAGCCTTAGAGTGTGAGCTCACCGAAGCATCAGAAGAAAACTCCTAATTTCTTACACTGCCTCTCCTACCTCTAAAGACACCAGATTATGCTTTGGGAGAAAAAAATCCAACTGGCAAAAGAGATGCGTTCCTCAGTGGATTCCGAGATCGGCCAGACGGAGATCCGGGCCATGAAGGGCGAGATCCACAGGATGAAGGTGAGGGGAGGAGAGCGGCGTGGCAGGGCCTGCTGGGTGCCAGCCCTTGGGCTCTGGAGACCTGGCCACACCAAGGCCTCGGCTCTCCCGGGGCTCCTGTGGGAACCACACTGGCCACATTGGCTGGTGGCAATGGGTGAGATTTCCAGGGAGCGACCCGCTCCAGCAGAGTGACCTGCACTCCAGCCGAGCACTGGCAAAGCGCACGTCCCCCTTGACCCAGCTTTTACCACACGCTTGCTTTTAATGTGCAGAAATATTGCAGAACAACACAGGACGCACACAGGCACGTGCACGAACAACACGGGACGCACGCAGGCACGTGCACGAAGAACACGGGACGCGCGCAGGCACGTGCACGAACAACACGGGACGCGCGCGGGCACGTGCACGAACAACACGGGACGCGCGCAGGCACGTGCACGAACAACACGGGACGCGCGCAGGCACGTGCACGAACAAGGGACGCGCGCAGGCACGTGCACGAACACAGGACACACACAGCACGTGCATGAACAACACAGGACACACACAGCACGTGCATGAACAACACAGGACACACACAAGCACGTGCATGAACAACACAGGACACACACAAGCACGTGCATGTCATCTCACAAAACGCTGTTTTATTCCTACTCCATGTAATCACAGCACGCTGGTATTTTTAAATGCCGGTTGTAACCCTCAAACTTTGTGACCCTCTAACGTATCCCACTGTGAGACAGTCTCACACCACAGAAGGGCTCAGAGAGCACCCCCATCTCATCCTTCACAGCCGCGTTGTCTCTCCATGGTCACAATTAGATTTCATTGCCTTTAAAAGGCTGGTAATTAAATTGCAAGTGGTCATCAAGCTAAAGGTTCAGGGCCTTAAGGATAACAGTAAGAGCAGTTCATAAAATAAATGGGCCTCACTTTCACCATGCCATGCTAAATAGAAATTCCTCTGCTGAGTTATTTTTCAGATCAAGTGCATATGCTAATAAGATGTTGTGTTTAAAAATACCAAATTTAATTGACTTTTCATATTACAGAAGCCACATGTATTTGCTGGAGCAAGACAAGCTCTCCTCCACAGAGTGGGGGCCAAAGAGAAGGTCCGGGCTGCTCCTCCCTGTCCCTTCTTCCCCGGCTCCCCCTCCTCAGCCAGGGCGACTGTGTCAGCCGCTGCAGGGATAAGGCCTCTCACCTTCTCGGATCTCACACAAATGCACAGGCAGGGCTTGCCTTGGCCCTACATGGTTACTAACCCATTCTTTAACAGTTACAATATATACTATGGATATTTCACAATTTATTGATCCAGTCCCAGGTTGGTGAAAATTCAGGTTGTTTCCAATTTGTTGTTGGTGTTATTGTTTTGTCCTAGACACAATGTGTGTTAGGGTTCTCCAAAGAAACAGAACCAGTAGACTACACACACACACACACACACACACACACACACACACACACAGAGAGAGAGAGAGAGAAAGAAAGAGAGATTTACTATGAGAATTGGCTCTTATGATTATGAGGGCCGAGAAGTCCTAGTATCCGGCATCTAATCTGCAGACCCAGGAGAGCCCATGATTCAGTCAAGTCTAAGACCTGAGAAGGAGGCAACGGTGTCATCCCAGCCCAGTGTTCCCCCACCCCCACCCCGTCCCACCACCTTCTTCTGCCTTTTCTCCTCAGGCCCTCAACAGATTGGATGATGTCACCCAGCCTGGCAAGAGGGATCTTTACTCTGTTCAAATGCCAATCATTTCCAGGGACACCCTCACAGTTCTACCCAAAACAGAAATCATGTTTTTCCAGCTATCCAGGCATTCCTTAGCCCAGTTAGGTTAACCCAAAATCAGCCATCACACAGCATTATAATCACATCCTTCCTTACTGGTTCTTTTTTTTTTCTTCTAGACTATGTTCCCAAAGGTGAGATTACTAGGTCAAAGGGTGTATAAATTCTGACTGTAACAGCCTGACAGATTACTTGTCTAAAAAGCACATGGCGGCAGTCATATCTGTACCTTCTTCTCAGTTCTGGTGTTATTTATCTATCTTTTTTTTTTTTTAATTGAGGTTTTTCAGCTGAGTGGAAGCTCACAGCTTAGGGCATTCAGCCCTATAAGGATTTTCTGGGTTTTTTTGTTTTGTTTTGTCTGTTTGTTTTTTGTTTTGTCTTTGAGACAGACTCTCTGTCATTCAGGCTGGAGTGAAGTGGTGGGATCTCGGCTCGCTGCAACCTCCGCCTCCCAAGTTCAAGCGATTCTCCTGCTTCAGCTTCCCAAGTAGCTGGGATTACAGGTGTGTGCCACCATGCCTGGCTAATTTTTTTGTATTTTCAGTAGAGACGGGGTTTCGCCATTTTGCCTAGGCTGGTCTCAAACTTCTGAGCTCAGGCAATTCGCCCACCTCAGCCTCCCAAAGTGCTGGGATTACAGGTGTGAGCCACTGTGCCCAGCCAGCCCTACAAGTTTTGATAGAGACGTACAATCATGTAGCCACTGCCACATCATGATATATTTCCTCATCCTCGAATTCCCTCATGCCCTCTGTAGTCAGCTCACCGCATACCCCAGCCGCCATGACAGCCACCAGTCTCTCTCCATGCCTGTCGTTTTGGCTTTTCCAGAATGTCACATAAATGGATCAAATAGGGTGAGACATATTGAGCCTGACTTTCCTTGCTTAGCCTCATGCATTTGAGATTCTTCTGTGTGGTGAAGCCCAATTACCCAGTCTGTTCTCTTTTTTTAGAGACAGGGTTTCGCTCTGTCACCCGGGCTGGAGTGCAGTGGTGCAATCATGGCTCACTGCAGCCTTGACCTTGTGGGCTCAAAGGATCCTCCTGCCTGGGCCTCCCAAAGTGCTGGGATTACGGGCACACACCACGGCACCCACCCCTCAGTCTGTTCTTTCATGGATCGTTTCAGTAGCTTATCTGAGGAGCCTCTGCCTAGCTGAAGGTCACGAAGAGCTTCTCTTCTGTTTTCTTCTAGAAGCTTCCTGCTTTTAGGTTTTACATTTAGGTCCATAATGTATTTTGAGTTAATTTTTGTGTATGGTGCAAGTTGTGGACTGGGGTTAATTTTTTTTGCATTTGGATGTCCACTGGAGTCAGCCCTGCTTGCTTCCTGAAAAGACTGCCCTTCCTCCACCGAACTACCGTCCAGTCCTTGTTGAAATCAGCTGACACGTTTGTGTGGGTTCGTTTCTGGGCTGTTTTGTTCTACTGATTTCTGTTTCTGTCCCTTCACCAATGCCCTGCTGTCTTGATTTCTGTAACTCTATACTTACGAAATTCCTCCGACTTCCTTTTTTTTTAAGACAGAGTCTTGCTCTGTTGTCCAGACTGGAGTGCAGTGGCACTCACATCTCAGCTCGCTGCAACTTCCACCTCCTGGGTTCGAGCAATTCTCCTGCCTCAGCCTCCTGAGTAGCTGAGACTACAGGCATGTGCCACCACACCCAGCTAATTTTTTGTATTTTTAGTAGAGATGGGGTTTCACCATGTTGGCCAGGCTGGCCTTGAACTCCTGATCTCAGATGATCCACCTGCCTCGGCCTCCCAAAGTGCTGGGATTACAGGTGTGAGCCACTGTGCCCGGCCAGCTGATTTTAATATTAGGCTGTTTTCTTATTTCTCTTTTTTTTTTTTTTGAAACAGTCTCGCTCTGTTGCCCAGGCTAGAGAGCAGTGGCACGATCTCAGCTCACTGCAACCTCTGCCTCCCGGGGTTCAAGTGATTCTCCCGCCTCAGCCTCCTGAGTAGCTGAGATTACAGGCGTGCACCACTATGCCTGGCTAATTTTTGTATTTTTGGTAGAGACGGGATTTCACCATGTTGGCCAGGTTGGTCTCAAACTCCTGAGCTCAGGTGATCCACCGGTTTCGGCCTCCCAAAGTGCTGGGATTACAGGCGTGAGCCACCGCACCCGGCCTGTTTTCTTATTTCTTAACATTTTTTAGGAGTTCCTTATACATTCGGTTATTAACCCCTGTCTTCAATACCTATTAAAATAGTGGCTCTGACCTATCATTGTCTTTGCCCTCTGTTTAGGGGGTCTTTTGCCACACAGACTTTTTAGTGTTTCTTAGTGTGGCTCCAAGTCACTTTATGGTACATTTTAAACCTGAGTAAGCTTGGTCTCCCTTCACCCTGCTTATCTTCGGGATTCTTGCCTGTTTTTTCTTTTAAATCAACTTTAGGCATAACTTTCATAAGATAAAATATGCTTATTTTAAACGCAGAGTTTGGGCTGGGTGCGGTGGCTCACGCCTGTAATCCTAGCACTTTGGGAGGCCGAGGCGGGTGGATCACTTGAGGTCAGTTCAAAACCAGCCTGGCCACCACGGTGAAACCCTGTCTCTACTGAAAAAAAAAAAAAAAATAGCCAGGCGTGGTGGCAGGTGCCTGTAATCCTAACTACTTGGGAGGCTGAGGCAGGAGAATTGCTTGAATCTGGGAGGTGGAAGTTGCGGTGAGACGAGATTGTGCCATCGCACTCCAGCCTGGGCAACAGAAGGAGACTGTGTCTCAAAAAATTTTTTTTATAAAAAGGCTGGGTGCAGTGGCTTATGCCTGCAATCCCAGCTTTGGGAGGCCAAGGTGGGCGGATCGAGACCATCTTGGCCAACATGGTGAAACCCCATCTCTACTAAAAATACAAAAATTAGCCAGGCCTGGGGGCAGATACCTGTAATCCTAGCTACTCAGGAGGCTGAGGCAGAAGAATCACTTGAACCCGGGAGGCGAAGGTTGCAGTGAGCCTAGATGGCTCCACTGCACTCCAGCCTGGTGACAGAGCAAGACTCCGTCTCAAAAAATTTTTAAAAAAGCACAGTTTGGTGGGTTCTAACACGCGCACACATCTACGTAGCCACTGACGCCATCAAGACATAGAACCTTTCTATGACTCCAGAAAGTTCCTGTGCACCCCCGCAGCCAATCCTCACGCTACAACCCAGTCCCCAGCCCCAGGTCCTCCACCCAAGCCAAGGTGCATTGTCACAACTAAGAAATTAACCTTCATGCAATACTGCTAACCAAACTACAAACTCTAATCAGATTTCACCAATTTTCTCAATGAGATTTTTTTCTGCTGCAGGATCTGACCCTGGCTTAGTTGCTTTTAGTTCTCACATCTCCTTGGTGGCCTCAGGTCTCGGCCATTTCTCCACCTTGCACTGTCTGCCTGTGGATTCCGGGTTCCCACCCAGGGCTGCTGCCTCCATGTCCCTTGTTCCTCCTGGCGGCACAGGCCTCACTGTTTCCCCGCCGATCCCCATGCGTGTCACCGGAGGATGAGCGAGGCCAGCGCCCCGGCCACTCTCTCTGCAGCTGCAGCTCAGGCCTGCCCCAGCCCCAGCCCCTCTGTCCTGTCTCCCAGGTCAGGCTCGGGCAGCTGCTGAAGCAGCAGGAGAAGATGATCCGTGCCATGGAGTTGGCGGTTGCCCGCAGAGAGACCGTCACCACCCAGGCCGAGGGGCAGCGCAAGATGGACAGGAAGGCGCTCACCCGCACCGACTTCCACCACAAGCAGCTTGAGCTGCGCCGGAAAATCAGGGACGTTCGCAAGGTAGGGAGCAGCGGAAAGGAAACAGGGCGCCTGCTCCTCTCTCTGGGATTCAAGGAACACTCCAGGAAGGCGTCTTGCTGGGTCCGGGGTGAGGATGCAGAGGCTGCAGTGGGGGCGTGCTCAGCACTGCTAACCTGCTGCTGGGTGCTGGGTCTGGGGTGAGGATGCAGAGAGACCATCCCCAGTTCTGCTAACCTGCTGCTGGGTTCGGGGTCAGGGGTGAGGATCCAGAGGCTGTTAGAGGGGCGTGCTCAGCACTGCTAACCTGCTGCTGCTACGGGGCCTGTCTGGGAGACTGCAGAATGCCCGCACCGGACAGAGCTGCTGACACCCAGAGACGGCCGTGTTTCAGCCCCTCCCTGCATATCGGAGGTGGCATTGGGAAGGCATAGAGTTCTGGGGAAGAGGCCAGCTCATGCTGGGGAGCCCGAGTGGGCACCGGGGACCAGCTGATGGGAGCGGGGTGGGCGCCTCGAGAGCCTGCATCCGCATACCCCAGGCCATGTCCACTGGGCCTGCACTGGGAGGGCCCAGCTGGTGCTGTCCGGTGCTTACCACCTCAACGGTTGCCAGCCAGGGGCCCTGCACTCACACTTCCCAGGTTGGCCCCACAGCCCCGCTGACCCGCTGTGTGACCTCGGAGTATGTGGGCCTTGCCAGACCTGCAGGGCCTCGTCTGCTGGGGGGTGGAGGGGCAGAGTTAAATGTGACAGCAACCACAGCCGTGGGTGGGGAGGTGGCCTTGGGGACAGCTGACAGCATGGCTTGGAGCCACGCTGGACCATTCCTGACTGGGGCATACGGTCTGACCTCCCAGAGCCTTGGTTTACTGACCTGTGAAATGGGTGCCCACCTCTCAGAGTCACCCAGAGGGTTCCCTGGAGAGTGCTGAAGTCATCCCTGTAGGGAAAGGCTAGCCAAAAATGGCAGACATGCATGGGCTGCTCATTTGGAAGTAACTGGAAGTTTCTGGAGAGAGGCGGCAGAGTGGCCTCTTCTCAGTCCTTTTCCACTACATTGGCTACTCCTGATGTCCATCCCTCCCTCAGCTTCCTAGCCCGGCCCCTGACCACTCCTTGCTGCCCTGGGCACCCCCTGAGTCCCCTGCCAGGACCCCATGCCCACCCCTCACCTCCTGTCTGCTCCAAGCCACACTCAAGTTCTCCAGCCCCAGGCCCTGCGCCCCACACGACGCCATCACTGATGGGTCCTTGTCCTCACCCCTGCCAGCCCCACCCCAAAGATCTTCCGTGTCCCCAGCCAGCCCTGAGAGTCACTGTGTCTCCTGCATCACCCCCTGGACCATGTCAGCTGCCAAACACTGCCTGCCCGGCTTTTCTTTCTCTTAATTGTGCTGCTTTCCCCGAAGGCGGAACGAACACCACACAGATGGCCCCAGCCTCGCTCCTCCCTCAGCAGAGGCCCCCACCCTCCTCTCTCCCAGGCTCCCCAGCCTGCCTCTCGGCCCTTACAGCCTCAGCCCTGCCCTTGGCACACGGCTGCTGAACTGTGCCAGTCTCCTGCCTGGGGACAGACCCACTGCACGGGGAGCCCCAGAACCACTCAGGCCCCCATCTCTCTGCCACACCTGCCTTAAAGGAGCAGTGTGCAGTGTGGGCTGGCTGGGCCTGGCATCTCCCAGGCCTCGCCTCTCCAGCCCTCCCATTCCTCTTTGGGAGCCTCCCTGGATGGAGTGTGTGGAAGGTGCCTGGCAGGTCCTCCCAGCCTGACTCTTCCCTGTCCGCCAAGTAGCCGGGCTGCAGGGGCCCAGCATGGTCCTGTGATTCTCCTAGGCCACCGATGAGTGCACCAAAACCGTCCTGGAACTGGAAGAAACACAAAGAAATGTGAGCAGCTCCCTCCTAGAGAAGCAGGAAAAGCTGTCGGTGATTCAGGCAGACTTCGACACACTCGAGGCCGACCTCACCCGGCTTGGGGCCCTCAAACGACAGGTAAACGTGTCCCAGGAGGTCCCTGGGGATGACGGCCATGGAACATGCCACTCACACAGAGGTCCTGCGTCCCCTCTGTGCGAGTCACGGCCTCTCCTGATCAGGTCACGGCCTCTCCTGATCCCAGGCCAGTAATAGCACCACCGGCTGCTCACATGTTTGTGGCTTTGTGATTTGTTCCACTGACAAATGTTGATGGAGTATCTGTTATGGGCTGGGCTCATGTTCAGCGTGCGAGGGTTACAAAATAGAACACAAAAAACAAACATTCCTGTGCTCTTAGAGGTTACCTCCTGGGGCAGGAGGACAGATGATGAGCAAAATAATTTTAAAAGATACAGTGTGTTGTAGCTAGGCATGGTGGTACACACCTGTGGTGCCAGCTACTCAGGAGGCTGAGGTGGGAGGATCGCTTGAGCCTGGGAGGTCGAGACTGCAGTGAGCCAAGGTTGTACCACTGCACTCCAGCCTGGGTGACAGAGGGAGATCCTGTCTCAAAAAGAAAAGAAAAGAAAAGAAAAGAAAAGAAAAGAAAAGAAAAGAAAAGAAAAAGGGAAATGGTGTGTTAGGTGGTGGTAAATGCTTTGAAGGAAGATAAACCAGAGAAAGAAGCGTCAGGGTCATTGGGGTGAACTGAGGGATTGACATTTTGAGTTAGGGTGATGCGGGAAGGCCCTGCGGAGCAGACATTGGAGTCCAGACCTGAAGGAGGGGACAGCCCACAAAACCACCCCAGGTGGACAGGACAGCCCGGCAAGGCAGAAGCCTGAGACTGCGCAAGGGCTACTAGAGGCCAGTGGGGCAGGCTGGGGAGGTTAGGGTATGTAAGACCCAGGCAGAGAGGGGCGGCCCAGACTGTGTGCGGCCTTAGGGAGAGCACAATCATGACTTTGGACTTTTCTCTTGGGGAGGTGGGCACACAGAGGAGGGCGTTGGGTCTGAGAGGTGACTTGGGCTTTAGCGGGCTCCCGCGCGCTCTAAGATTGCATGTGGATGAAGCATGGATGCGGGGGGCACCTGGGGCTATTTGCAGTGCTTCAGGGCGGCCCCTGTGGGGCTGGCGAGAAGCCATCAGGCTCTGCATATGCGTTATGCCAACATCGCCCGATGGGATTCCTGCTGGGTTGGCTGTGGTGTGAGCAGAGACGGAGGTGGAGAATGGCTCCAAGGTTCTGGCCTGGCCAACTGAGATGATGAGGGGAACGTGCCTGGCACTGGGCCTGACACACGGCAGGTGTCAAGAAGGTTGCCTAAGCCGGGCACGGTGGCTCATGCCTGTAATCCCAGCACTTTGGGAGGCCGCAGCAGGTGGATCACTTGAGGTCAGGAGTTCGAGACCAGCCTGGCCAACATGGCGAAACCCCATCTCAACTAAAAATACAAATATTAGCCAGGCATGGTGGCGGGCGCCTGTAATCTCAGCTACCCGGGCGTGGTGGTGGGGGTGGGTGCCTGTAATTCCAGCTAGTTGGGAGGCTGAGGCAGGTGAATCGCTTGAAGCCGGGAGCCAGAGGTTGCAGTGTGCCAAGATTGTGCCATTGCACTCCAGCCTAGGTAACAGAGCGAGACAGCCTCAAAAAAAAAAAAAAAAAATGCCGGCGGGTCACAGTGGCTCACACCTGTAATCCCAGCACTTTGGGAAGCCGAGGCAGGCGGATCACGAGGTCAGGAGATCGAGACCATCCTGGCTAACACGGTGAAACCCTGTCTCTACTAAAAAAAAAAAAAATACAAAAAATTAGCCGGGCCTGGTGACGGGCATCTGTAGTCCCAGCTACTCAGGAGGCTGAGACAGGATAATGGCGTGAACCCGGGAGGCGGAGCTTGCAGTGAGCCGAGATCGCACCGCTGCACTCCAGCCTGGGCGACAGAGCAAGACTCCATCTCAAAAAAAAAAAAGAATGCCTCCTAGATGGTGATGATGGGTGACCCATAAAGCACCGACCCAGTGCCTCTCAGCCTCTTCCCTGAGATCCAGGGGCGCAACACCTTCACGCCGTCCCTTTTCAGGCGTAGGTCTCGCCTCCTCTTCGGCATTTCCTGGAATCTGAGTTTGTGGGGGGCCAGCAGGTGTCTTTCTTCTGGTTTGCATAGCCCTATATGGAGTCTCTTTTCCTACCCAGAACCTTTCAGAGATCGTGGCCCTGCAGACACGCCTTAAGCACCTGCAGGCTGTGAAGGAGGGGCGCTACGTGTTCCTGTTCCGCTCCAAGCAGTCCCTAGTGCTGGAGCGCCAGCGCCTGGACAAGCGACTGGCTCTCATCGCCACCATCCTGGACCGCGTGCGGGACGAGTACCCCCAGTTCCAGGAGGCCCTGCACAAGGTCAGCCAGATGATCGCCAACAAGCTCGAGTCACCAGGGCCCTCCTAGGGAGCAGCCTGGACTCCGCCTTGCAAGGCCTCCAGGAAGAGATCCGGAATTGTGTTTGTCATGAGGGACTTGGAATCTTTTGTGTTCCTAAAAACCACATGTACCCTCAGAAGGGCATCGTTTAAGAGAAATAAGCCAGCCCCACCCATAGGAATCTTTTTAGCCACTCAGCAATTTAATAAACCAGGTAAAATCCTAGCGTTTCCCATGGCATCCCATCGCAAAGACAGAGCCTGTGACTGCAGACCCACACACCCACACTCCCACACTGGGCTTACTCGTCCAGGTAACACTTTGGTTTGCAGCACTCCCAAATCTGCACGTGCCTCTCACAACACAACGCTGCCACAGGTCCACAAGCTGGTGGGCTGAGCAGAGGTGGGAAAGTTAAGGCAGCTCCAGCCAGCCTGGCCCGGGAGGCTGGTCCCCCCAGCACTTCCCTCTACTAGGTGCATCTGAAAACCCACAAACCACCTTCTTTACCAGTTTTCCCATCCCCACCCCTTAGAACTCTCAGGTCCCTTTTCCTGCCCCCATGTCCCCATTTGAGTTAAATTCAGATCCACAGCTTGCAGGAGAAAGTCAGTGGCCCCAGACACACGTAACAGGGTGAGCACTGAAATAAGAGCACGCTGGGGCGTCCACACCAAGGGACTACGCCCCAGTCTGCCCACCTATCTTTTCTCCATCATTAACCCAGCGCTCTTTCTCCCTGGACTTCCAAGTACCAATGACCTTGGGGCTTCTTTGCAGTTTAAAGGGAAAATGCTCTACAAAATAATTTCACTTTCAAACATTTCAGCAGAAGAATAAAATCTTTTTTCTGAATATCTAGTAAGCCTTTCTGAGTCAGCCTTACTTATTTTAAAACATTGTAGAAATACAGAAACCACAACAGAGGTGGAAGGGAGGCTTTTGTTTTTTTTTTTTTGAGACGGAGTCTCGCTCTGTCGCCCAGGCTGGAGTGCAGTGGCGCGGTCTCGGCTCGCTGCAAGCTGGAAAGGGGGCTTTTAATGCCCCTATGCCCCTACCCAGGAACAACACCTCTGTGTTTTGGTGTGGCTCCTTTTGTATTTTTCTGCACATACATTTTATTAGGCAAGTTAAGGTTATACTGTGTGTTTTTTGTATCTCACATGTAAAAATGTGCTCCTCTTAATGTAAGCATTTTCTCATTTTATGAAAAAATTCCCCCTGTGTCAGTTTAATGTTTTCTCAATTGTCAGTTTTATGGGTTATCACAATGTTTTGATTATTCCTTTCTGGAATAACTGTGAGTTATGGAGCACACTTAAGGACTTTCCAAATGTTGGCTGTTTCTAACTTGGCGCTGAGCGCCTTTGGCCGCCTTTCCGATGATGCCCTCGGGACGCGTTGGCAGGAGGAATCCCTGGGCGCAAGGCGCGGCTGGGCCAGCCCCTTACAAAGCCCTACGAGCTGCGGGGACCCAGGCCGGGGCAGCGGGGGCCACGCCCCATCTCCGACCCCACGGGGACCGGGCCGGGACTGCGCCAGCGGGGGCCTCGCCCCGTCTCTGACCCCAGAGGAACCGGCAGCGGGCAGCACGCGTGGGCCTCTCCCCGCGGGACGCCGGACGCGCAGCCAGACGCGCTCCCCAGGCCCCCTCCGAGAGCGAGGACGCGCCCAGGCCCGCTCTGCCGGAGCCGCCACTGGGGGGCGTAGCGCGGACGCGCACCCTTGCCTCGGGCGCCTGCGCGGGAGGCCGCGTCACGTGACCCACCGCGGCCCCGCCCCGCGACGAGCTCCCGCCGGTCACGTGACCCGCCTCTGCGCGCCCCCGGGCACGACCCCGGAGTCTCCGCGGGCGGCCAGGGCGCGCGTGCGCGGAGGTGAGCCGGGCCGGGGCTGCGGGGCTTCCCTGAGCGCGGGCCGGGTCGGTGGGGCGGTCGGCTGCCCGCGCGGCCTCTCAGTTGGGAAAGCTGAGGTTGTCGCCGGGGCCGCGGGTGGAGGTCGGGGATGAGGCAGCAGGTAGGACAGTGACCTCGGTGACGCGAAGGACCCCGGCCACCTCTAGGTTCTCCTCGTCCGCCCGTTGTTCAGCGAGGGAGGCTCTGCGCGTGCCGCAGCTGACGGGGAAACTGAGGCACGGAGCGGGTGAGACACCTGACGTCTGCCCCGCGCTGCCGGCGGTAACATCCCAGAAGCGGGTTTGAACGTGCCTAGCCGTGCCCCCAGCCTCTTCCCCTGAGCGGAGCTTGAGCCCCAGACCTCTAGTCCTCCCGGTCTTTATCTGAGTTCAGCTTAGAGATGAACGGGGAGCCGCCCTCCTGTGCTGGGCTTGGGGCTGGAGGCTGCATCTTCCCGTTTCTAGGGTTTCCTTTCCCCTTTTGATCGACGCAGTGCTCAGTCCTGGCCGGGACCCGAGCCACCTCTCCTGCTCCTGCAGGACGCACATGGCTGGGTCTGAATCCCTGGGGTGAGGAGCACCGTGGCCTGAGAGGGGGCCCCTGGGCCAGCTCTGAAATCTGAATGTCTCAATCACAAAGACCCCCTTAGGCCAGGCCAGGGGTGACTGTCTCTGGTCTTTGTCCCTGGTTGCTGGCACATAGCACCCGAAACCCTTGGAAACCGAGTGATGAGAGAGCCTTTTGCTCATGAGGTGACTGATGACCGGGGACACCAGGTGGCTTCAGGATGGAAGCAGATGGCCAGAAAGACCAAGGCCTGATGACGGGTTGGGATGGAAAAGGGGTGAGGGGCTGGAGATTGAGTGAATCACCAGTGGCTTAGTCAACCATGCCTGCACAATGGAACCCCGTAAGAAACCACAGGGATCAGAGGGCTTCCCGCCGGGTTGTGGAACACACCAAGGCACTGGAGGGTGGTGCGAGCAGAGAGCACAGCATCACTGCCCCCACCTCACACCAGGCCCTACGCATCTCTTCCATACGGCTGTCTGAGTTTTATCCTTTGTAATAAACCAGCAACTGTAAGAAACGCACTTTCCTGAGTTCTGTGACCCTGAAGAGGGAGTCCTGGGAACCTCTGAATTTATAACTAGTTGATCGAAAGTACAAGTGACAACCTGGGATTTGCCATTGGCCTCTGAAGTGAAGGCAGTGTTGTGGGACTGAGCCCTTAACCTGTGGAGTCTGTGCTGACTCCAGGTAGTGTCAAGATTGAATTGAATTGTAGGACACCCAGCCGTGTCCAGAAAGTTGCAGAATTGATGGGTGTGAGAAAAACCCTACACATTTAATGTCAGAAGTGTGGGTAAAATGTTTCACCCTCCAGCCCAGAGAGCCCTAATTTACCAGTGGCCCACGGTGGAACACCACGTCCGGCCGGGGGCAGAGCGTTCCCAGCCAAGCCTTCTGTAACATGACATGACAGGTCAGACTCCCTCGGGCCCTGAGTTCACTTCTTCCTGGTATGTGACCAGCTCCCAGTACCAGAGAAGGTTGCACAGTCCTCTGCTCCAAGGAGCTTCACTGGCCAGGGGCTGCTTTCTGAAATCCTTGCCTGCCTCTGCTCCAAGGCCCGTTCCTCAGAGACGCAGACCCCTCTGATGGCTGACTTTGGTTTGAGGACCTCTCTGCATCCCTCCCCCATGGCCTTGCTCCTAGGACACCTTCTTCCTCCTTTCCCTGGGGTCAGACTTGCCTAGGTGCGGTGGCTCTCCCAGCCTTCCCCACGCCCTCCCCATGGTGTATTACACACACCAAAGGGACTCCCCTATTGAAATCCATGCATATTGAATCGCATGTGGGTTCCGGCTGCTCCTGGGAGGAGCCAGGCTAATAGAATGTTTGCCATAAAATATTAATGTACAGAGAAGCGAAACAAAGGTCGTTGGTACTTGTTAACCTTACCAGCAGAATAATGAAAGCGAACCCCCATATCTCATCTGCACGCGACATCCTTGTTGTGTCTGTACCCGAGGCTCCAGGTGCAGCCACTGTTACAGAGACTGTGTTTCTTCCCCATGTACCTCGGGGGCCGGGAGGGGTTCTGATCTGCAAAGTCGCCAGAGGTTAAGTCCTTTCTCTCTTGTGGCTTTGCCACCCCTGGAGTGTCACCCTCAGCTGCGGTGCCCAGGATTCCCCACTGTGGTATGTCCGTGCACCAGTCAATAGGAAAGGGAGCAAGGAAAGGTACTGGGTCCCCCTAAGGACATACGAGTTGCCAGAATCACTTCCGCTGACACCCAGTGGACCAAGCCGCACCTTTATGCAGAAGTGGGGCTCCCAGCCAGGCGTGGTCACTCCTGAAATCCCAGCACTTCGGAAGGCCAAGGGGGGTGGATCACTTGAGCTCAGGAGTTCGAGACCAGCCTGGGTAACATGGCAAAATCCCGTCTCTACAAAAATACAGAAAATTAGCTGGGTGCGGTGGTGTGTGCCTACAGTCCCAGCTACTCAGGAGGCTGAAGTGGGAGGATTGCTTGAGTCTGGGAGGTGGAGGTTGCAGTGAGCCAGGATCTCACCACAGCACTCTGGCCCAGGCGACAGCTGTTTGGCCTGTTTCAAGTGTCTACCTGCCTTGCTGGTCTTCCTGGGGACATTCTAAGCGTGTTTGATTTGTAACATTTTAGCAGACTGTGCAAGTGCTCTGCACTCCCCTGCTGGAGCTTTTCTCGCCCTTCCTTCTGGCCCTCTCCCCAGTCTAGACAGCAGGGCAACACCCACCCTGGCCACCTTACCCCACCTGCCTGGGTGCTGCAGTGCCAGCCGCGGTTGATGTCTCAGAGCTGCTTTGAGAGCCCCGTGAGTGCCGCCCCTCCCGCCTCCCTGCTGAGCCCGCTTTCTTCTCCCGCAGGCCTGTAGGAGCTGTCCAGGCCATCTCCAACCATGGGAGTGAGGCACCCGCCCTGCTCCCACCGGCTCCTGGCCGTCTGCGCCCTCGTGTCCTTGGCAACCGCTGCACTCCTGGGGCACATCCTACTCCATGATTTCCTGCTGGTTCCCCGAGAGCTGAGTGGCTCCTCCCCAGTCCTGGAGGAGACTCACCCAGCTCACCAGCAGGGAGCCAGCAGACCAGGGCCCCGGGATGCCCAGGCACACCCCGGCCGTCCCAGAGCAGTGCCCACACAGTGCGACGTCCCCCCCAACAGCCGCTTCGATTGCGCCCCTGACAAGGCCATCACCCAGGAACAGTGCGAGGCCCGCGGCTGTTGCTACATCCCTGCAAAGCAGGGGCTGCAGGGAGCCCAGATGGGGCAGCCCTGGTGCTTCTTCCCACCCAGCTACCCCAGCTACAAGCTGGAGAACCTGAGCTCCTCTGAAATGGGCTACACGGCCACCCTGACCCGTACCACCCCCACCTTCTTCCCCAAGGACATCCTGACCCTGCGGCTGGACGTGATGATGGAGACTGAGAACCGCCTCCACTTCACGGTGGGCAGGGCAGGGGCGGGGGCGGCGGCCAGGGCAGAGGGTGCGCGTGGACATCGACACCCACGCACCTCACAAGGGTGGGGTGCATGTTGCACCACTGTGTGCTGGGCCCTTGCTGGGAGCGGAGGTGTGAGCAGACAATGGCAGCGCCCCTCGGGGAGCAGTGGGGACACCACGGTGACAGGTACTCCAGAAGGCAGGGCTCGGGGCTCATTCATCTTTATGAAAAGGTGGGTCAGGTAGAGTAGGGCTGCCAGAGGTTGCGAATGAAAACAGGATGCCCAGTAAACCCGAATTGCAGATACCCCAGGCATGACTTTGTTTTTTTGTGTAAGGATGCAAAATTTGGGATGTATTTATACTAGAAAAGCTGCTTGTTGTTTATCTGAAATTCAGAGTTATCAGGTGTTCTGTATTTTACCTCCATCCTGGGGGAGGCGTCCTCCTCCTGGCTCTGCAGATGAGGGAGCCGAGGCTCAGAGAGGCTGAATGTGCTGCCCATGGTCCCACATCCATGTGTGGCTGCACCAGGACCTGACCTGTCCTTGGCGTGCGGGTTGTTCTCTGGAGAGTAAGGTGGCTGTGGGGAACATCAATAAACCCCCATCTCTTCTAGATCAAAGATCCAGCTAACAGGCGCTACGAGGTGCCCTTGGAGACCCCGCATGTCCACAGCCGGGCACCGTCCCCACTCTACAGCGTGGAGTTCTCCGAGGAGCCCTTCGGGGTGATCGTGCGCCGGCAGCTGGACGGCCGCGTGCTGTGAGTTCTGGGCTCTGTGCCAGCATGATGGGGAGGGCGACGCGCATTTCTCACACGGCAGGGAGGGCCACACGCGTTTGTTTCTCACACGATGGGCAGGGCGACACATGTTTGTTTCTCACACGGCGGGGAGGGCGACGGGCATTTCTCACAGGGCGCTCCCTGGGTCTTTTACTCACATAGGTCTAAATCCCATGTAAACACGTGTTCAGGACTCACCAAGCCCCTGCTTGTCATTTAACTCAGGAAAACTCTCAGGAACGACAGCACTTGGATTTGCCTTAATCTTAAGAGAAGTTGCCTTCGGAAATGCGTTTTTCTTTTTTTGCTCATTCATTTACTCAGTGTCCACGCACTGACCCTCCGTGCCGGGTGGTTTGGATCCTGCTCCCGGGGACAGACACACAGTGAGGGGAAGCCATAAGCAAGTCCATGCAGACACAGCGTCAGGGAGTGGTCATGCAGAGAGCACGCTAGAAGCCAGCTGTGCAGACACGGGGCAGGGAGGTCCCCTCTAGAAGCCAGCTGTGCAGACGCAGGGGACAGGGATGGCCTCTCTGGAAGCCAGCTGTGCAGATGTTGGGGGCAGGGGTGGCCTCTCTGGAAGCCAGCTGTGCAGGAGTGGGGGGTGGGGAGGCCACTCTGGAAACCAGCTGTGCAGATGCAGGGGACAGGGGTGGCCTCTCTGAGCTGACCTCTGAGTAGAGAGACCCAAGAGAAGTTTCTCAAAGCATCTTATCAAGCTAGGTATGGTGGTTCATGTCTGCAATTCCAGCACTTTGGGAGGCCAAGGCGAGAGGGTCACTTGAGCCCAGGAGTTCAAGACCATCCTGGGCAACATAGCAAGACCCCATCTCTTAAAAAATAAAAATAAAAAATTAGCTGGGAATTGTGGCACATGCCTGTGGTCCCAGCTACTCAGGAGGCTGAGGCAAGAGGATCCCTTGAGCCCAGGGGTTCGAGGTTGCAGTGAACCATGATTTTGCCACTGCACTTCAGCCTTGCTGAAGACCCCGTCTCAAAAAACAAACAACAAACAGGCATCTTATCAGATCTCGGTCTTGAAAGCACTCAGCGTAGTCTTGCCCAGGGGAGGGTGGGTGCGGTGTGAGCCCGTCCTGCGAAATTAGCTGTGCTGTGTTAACAGAGGACGCGTCTTCCTGTGGACCGGGTTTATCTGCGGCTTTCATTTCTCGGAGGTGCTGTTTGCCTTGCACTTGACCCCCAGCAAACCTCAGGGGTCCTTCTCAGGCATGGCTGGGCTGGGATCTGGGAGGACTTTGGCCACAAGCTCCTAGGCCTGGAAAGGTTCTGTTCAGCCCCTGCCCAGCCTTGCTTGGGGTCATGGGACAGGCATGTGTGCCAGTTCCGGTACCAGCCAGTTCCTGGAGGTCAGCCCCTTGGGGGCCCCTCAGGGGTGGTGTGGGCCCAGCCAGGCGGTGCGCCTCTTCTGATATGCCCTGAGAGTTGATCACGCTGGTGCCAGGGTGCCAAGGGCTGCAGGGCTCGGCACGGCCGCCTGTCCCAGGGTCAGTGTGCTGCAGGGCTGGCCAGGCCACTCCGCCCTCCCAGGGCACCAGGGCCCGGGGGTGCTCTCTGGGTGCTCTCAGGCTCGTGTGGCCCCTTGGGTGTGAGCAAGCCTGGCTGGCCTCTGTCCCGCAGGCTGAACACGACGGTGGCGCCCCTGTTCTTTGCGGACCAGTTCCTTCAGCTGTCCACCTCGCTGCCCTCGCAGTATATCACAGGCCTCGCCGAGCACCTCAGTCCCCTGATGCTCAGCACCAGCTGGACCAGGATCACCCTGTGGAACCGGGACCTTGCGCCCACGGTACAGCGGCGGGCGGCGGGCGGGGGCACTGAGCTGGGGAGCGCAGGTGCTGAAGCGCCGTCTCCTGCATGTCCCAGCCCGGTGCGAACCTCTACGGGTCTCACCCTTTCTACCTGGCGCTGGAGGACGGCGGGTCGGCACACGGGGTGTTCCTGCTAAACAGCAATGCCATGGGTAAGCTGCCCGCCGCCCAGCGCCCGGGCCGGGGTCTCCTCCGTGCTGCCTGCCCTGGAGACTGGAGGTCCGCATGAGGGGCCCTGGGCACGGTGCTGGGCCTTGTGTTTTCTGGGAAATGAGTCCTATGGGCTGATGCCTCTCCCAACTCTGGCCTTCTGTGCTCCTAAGGAGGGTTCTGGGGCCCTGCCTGGAGGTGGGCTGGCACCACATATCTTTCCGTCCCATGCCAGGTTCCTCCTGAGTCAGGCTTAGCACGGCTTCCCCAGGCCACTCTGAGCTCCTCGTGGGGAGAGAGCCTCAACTCTCCGCCTGTGATTGGCCCATCTGTGGGGTGCAGAGCCCTCCAAGTGAAGAATCTGTCCCCCAACCCCAGAGCTGCTTCCCTTCCAGATGTGGTCCTGCAGCCGAGCCCTGCCCTTAGCTGGAGGTCGACAGGTGGGATCCTGGATGTCTACATCTTCCTGGGCCCAGAGCCCAAGAGCGTGGTGCAGCAGTACCTGGACGTTGTGGGTAGGGCCTGCTCCCTGGCCGCGGCCCCCGCCCCAAGGCTCCCTCCTCCCTCCCTCATGAAGTCGGCGTTGGCCTGCAGGATACCCGTTCATGCCGCCATACTGGGGCCTGGGCTTCCACCTGTGCCGCTGGGGCTACTCCTCCACCGCTATCACCCGCCAGGTGGTGGAGAACATGACCAGGGCCCACTTCCCCCTGGTGAGTTGGGGTGGTGGCAGGGGAGGCAAGGGGCTGGCCGGGACGCGTCTCCTCAGGCCCCAGCAGACGGTCCCGTGTTGTGGCTGCAGGACGTCCAGTGGAACGACCTGGACTACATGGACTCCCGGAGGGACTTCACGTTCAACAAGGATGGCTTCCGGGACTTCCCGGCCATGGTGCAGGAGCTGCACCAGGGCGGCCGGCGCTACATGATGATCGTGGTGTGTGCCCCCACACTGTGGGTCTTTGGGAAGGGGGCCGCCCGGTGCCCAGTGGCTCCTTCTCTGTGCAGCGTCATCCTCGTGCCTGTGTGGTCGCCGAGGATGTTTTCTGAGGGTCTTTGTGATATCGAGGGAATATCAAGAAGTTTGCAGGCTTGGCCCCAGCTGTCCAGGGAGGTCGGGTTTGAGGGTCCCCAGAAATGGCCGGGTGCTACTCAGGGTTCTGTCAGATGTAGGTTACTTGAACTGCCTTAAAGCAAAAGGCCAGGGGCATGATAAACTGATGTCACCTGGTCCTGGAAAGTGGAGGGCCCGGTGGGCCTGGGCATGGGTATCGCTGGAACTGTGGAGGCTCCGTGTGCCTTCTGGCCGTGCCTCTCCTTCTGGCCGGCTCTGAATCCCTGGAAAGGACGGCGTGAGTGAGGGCAGCTTCCAGCCCTCATGCTGGCACCACAGAGCGGAGACTTCTTCCCATCAGCTCCCATAGAAAAGTCCCAAAGCAGGACTCTTGAGTCACCCAGCACAAAGAGGCCCTTCCCTGAGCCAGTCCCACAGCCAGAAGGATGCAGTTTGGGGGCTGGTCCAGCCCGAGTCTGGTGTCCGGCACGATGGCCAGAGGAGGAGGTGGGAGGCAGGGCGAGCTGAAAAGATCCAACAGTTCCTGCCCGGAAGATCCACTTCAGCAGAGGAAGCACAGATGAGATGTGGGGCTGTGCTGATGCTGCCTGTTTCCATCCCTGCCTTCTGCAGGCAGCAAACAGTAGTAGCCCTTAAGAGCAGGAGTGGAAACACAGACTTTTTTCTTTCTCACATTTTTTTAATTATAAAAGAAAAGTGATTACTGTAGAACACTTGGGAAACTCTAGAGGTTTAAAGAAAAGGTAAAGGTAAAGCTTCCATTCCGGCGCGCCCCTCATCAGCCAGCTGGTCCTGACTCGCCCGGCCCTGGCTCCTCTCCAGGCAGGCGTGTGCAGGCATGTGCAGGTACACAGGCAGGCATGCTGTACACACGCATGATGTCATCCCCAGCCTCATCCTCTCACTGTCTCAGTTTTCCCCGTGGCTGGCGCCAGGGCTCTGGGCCACCCTCACCTTGACAGGTTTCCCTCTTCCCAGGATCCTGCCATCAGCAGCTCGGGCCCTGCCGGGAGCTACAGGCCCTACGACGAGGGTCTGCGGAGGGGGGTTTTCATCACCAACGAGACCGGCCAGCCGCTGATTGGGAAGGTAGGGCGAGGGTCCAGGGGACGGGGGTTAGAAAGCAGAGGCCTCCAGCCAGGGGGAGCCGGCAGCTGCTCAGGAAGACGGTGGGATTTGAGGAGCCATCACGCCCAGTGGGACAGCTGAGAGGAATGGGCCACAGTGGCCCGTGACGATGGTGGCTCCTACAAGGAATGGCCCCGTGAGTTCTTCCATCAGCAGGCCTTTGACTTCATGGGCAGCTGGGCCTGGCCCAGGCACAAGCCCTGCAGACCCTCAGTGAGGCCTTAGGGTCCTCCTTGTCCTCCCAGCCCCCCAGGGGCCTCCAGGCAGGGCCCCCGCTGAGGGAGCAGCTAGGGAGGGTCTGGTGCGGATGTGAGGCTGCCTGGCAGGGCTTGCACGGGGCCGTCTCCGCTGCCCTTCTCCCTGACGCTCTCTGGTTCTGCAGCCCAGCCCCTGGGTGGACGTGTTGGGGGTGACCCCTCGTTTTCCCAGGGTTGAGGCCCCTTGGCCCCGCATCAGTGCCTTGTGGAGAAAGAGCTGCTCATTGACCTCCAGGGTGCAGGTCTCTCAGATTTGCAAATGTGGGCGTCCACTAAGAGTGAGGCTGCCCCTCTGCTCAGGCTGAGGCTCAGTGGGGCTTCCATGCAGGCCCTGGGTGGGGCCGGGTCTCCCCACTGCAGCCTCTCGTTGTCCAGGTATGGCCCGGGTCCACTGCCTTCCCCGACTTCACCAACCCCACAGCCCTGGCCTGGTGGGAGGACATGGTGGCTGAGTTCCATGACCAGGTGCCCTTCGACGGCATGTGGATTGTAAGTGTGGCCCCCTCCTGAGCATCCCCAAGGCCTCTGGGGACTACCCCACCCTCCTCACTCTGGGCAGAGTCACCTACCAGCAGCGCTTCTCTTGCAGGACATGAACGAGCCTTCCAACTTCATCAGGGGCTCTGAGGACGGCTGCCCCAACAATGAGCTGGAGAACCCACCCTACGTGCCTGGTCAGCTCGCCCCCCACCTACCCTGGGGACTTAATCAAATCAGAGACTCCCTTGTCTGGCCTGGGAGACTTAGCACCCTCATCTCTGAGAAGCAGATGGGCCAGCGGGGAAAGGGGCGGGGGGGGGATCCCCAGGAGAAAGGCTCAGGCTGGGAGACTCAGCCAAGCAGTGCAGACAGGGTGGGTGCAGAGGCACAGGCCCTGCCGGAGGAGACGCCGCTCACAGGTGCTTGCCAGAGCACAGTGAGGCCGACTCGACTCAGAGCCGTCTCGATAGGCGCAGGGACCATGCAGCGGAGACCTACCCACCCGTGGGGAGAGGTCAGGCCCAACTCGAATGCAGCACGGGCAAGTGGATTTCTAGCCAGGGAGCAGGGTGGGCTCAGAGGCAGGAATTACCAAGAAGAAGCATGGGGGTCAGGGGGATTCTGGCTGAACTGACCCAGCAGGATTCTTGCTGAAGGCAGGCCAGGGTGACCAGACATCGCCTGAGGGGTGGTGGAGGTTGGGGCTTCTCGCCAAACTGTCTTAGCAGGAATGGCAGAAACTGGGTTTTACAAGGAAGTACAAGGATGGGCCTGGGAGAAGGTTTGGGGGCCTGAGGCTATAGTTTGGCCCAGCAAAGAATCAGTGAGAGGATGGGGTTTTGGGCTTAGGTAAACAGGCAGGGGAGTGCTTGAAATGGGCCAAGAGACGGTGGATGTGAAGTCTGGGGGTCTGCAGAGCCCAGGCTCCAGCACCCGCCCAGCCCTGTCTTAGAAGCAGTGGAGATGATTACCCAGGTTCCCGGGTAACGCCAGCCCCACAGAGGCGTGGGGAGCGGCTGCAGGTGCACCTCCAGGGCCAGCCTGAAGAGGCAGCGACCTGCACAGGGGCTCCTGGGAGGTGGGGGGCAGGGAGGGCACCTTGGAGCCTGCCGGGAGGAAGCTCCCTGGAAACCAGCCCCCGCCTCTTCCAGGGGTGGTTGGGGGGACCCTCCAGGCGGCCACCATCTGTGCCTCCAGCCACCAGTTTCTCTCCACACACTACAACCTGCACAACCTCTACGGCCTGACCGAAGCCATCGCCTCCCACAGGTGAGGGCCACGTCCCGCCCCACTGGGCTCTGCCCTCACAGCCTGTCCTACAAGGTTGGGGCCTCTGCAGGGCCTCAGGGAGGAGGAAAAGCGGAGGCCCAGACCACCCGGGGCCCGCTGGCGGCCCGAGTGCTCTCCCCACCCGCTGCCTGCACCCCAGCCTGAAGCTGGAGCGCTCCTTCCCACTTCATGCCTGGGGCTTGGAGAGGAAGGACCCTGGATGCTGACAGGAGTCTGCATCAGCGGGGACCTCATGACTCCTGTGAGGCTGGGGGGGGTCCTGGCTCACCTACAGGCATCAGGTGGCCCAGACAGAGGCAACTGTGCCCGCAGACATGGGCAGTAGCCTCGCCGTCCTCCTCCCCAGCCTCTGCCTCATCCCAGAAAGCTCCTTGCTCCCAGCTCTGCCCTGCTGGTGACAGGGTTCCCGAGTGACCCCGCTCCACACAGCCCTCACGGTGTCCCCCACCACCCCAGGGCGCTGGTGAAGGCTCGGGGGACACGCCCATTTGTGATCTCCCGCTCGACCTTTGCTGGCCACGGCCGATACGCCGGCCACTGGACGGGGGACGTGTGGAGCTCCTGGGAGCAGCTCGCCTCCTCCGTGCCAGGTGAGCTCCTACCAGGAGGGGCTGCTCAGCAGAGTAGAGCCGGGGGCCTCTATGGGAGGCTTGCCGGGGCCCCCCACCCACTTAGCAGGTGGGGCTCTGGGTCACTTGGCCTGAGCTGGCTCTGCTGCAGCAGCCTGAGGACCAGCCTGACTCTGCCCTCCCAGAAATCCTGCAGTTTAACCTGCTGGGGGTGCCTCTGGTCGGGGCCGACGTCTGCGGCTTCCTGGGCAACACCTCAGAGGAGCTGTGTGTGCGCTGGACCCAGCTGGGGGCCTTCTACCCCTTCATGCGGAACCACAACAGCCTGCTCAGTCTGGTAGGGTGGGGGTGGCGGCATGGCAGGTGGGCGATCCCACCCACCCAAGACTCTCCCCTGGGAATCCCACCCCTGCTGGAGAAGCACCCCATGCTGGGTGGCTGAGAAGTGCAGCTCTCCCGAGGCGGGGACTCCAGGGGACCGCGGCCCCAGCACCCAAGTGCTTCCTTTGCCCCCGCCTGCCCTGCAGCCCCAGGAGCCGTACAGCTTCAGCGAGCCGGCCCAGCAGGCCATGAGGAAGGCCCTCACCCTGCGCTACGCACTCCTCCCCCACCTCTACACACTGTTCCACCAGGCCCACGTCGCGGGGGAGACCGTGGCCCGGCCCCTCTTCCTGGAGTGAGTGACCTAGGCAGGGGCGGTGGCCCATGTGTGCCCTGGGGGAGGGGCACGTAACTCCCAGGCAGCCCTGTCCTGCTGTGGGCTGTGTTCCCCAGGACCCAGCAGGTTGCCGCTGAGTGAGACAACATTTGGGCCTGGCTTAAGGGGGAAGGGCAGCAAGAAAACCCAGTAATATCCCCCAGACAGGCCGTAGTACACACGAGGAGTTCCTAACAACAGCCCTGCACATCAGTGTGTTGAGGGAGGATTCCCAGAGAGTGAGGTGATTAGTTAACTATTTGCAGAAGTCAATTTATTTTTCTTGCATACCATAGAAACATAAGTTCCAGATAAATTAAATAGTTAATGTCAAAAATCAAGCTGTGGAGGCCAGGCACGGTGGCTAACGCCTGTAATCCCAGAACTTTGGGAGGCTGAGGCGAGTGGATCACCTGAGGTCAAGAGTTCGAGGCCAGCCTGGCCAACATGGTGAAACCCATCTCTACTAAAAATACAAAAATTAGCCGTGCATGGTGGTGGGCGCCTGTAGTCCCTGCTACTCAGGAGGCTGAGGCCAGAGAATCCCTTGAACCTGGGAGGAGGAGATTGCAGTGAGCCGAGATCGCGCCACTGTACTCCAGCCTGTGTGACTCCATCTCAAAAAAAAAAAACCAAGCTGTGAAAGACTCCACAGGAAAAGATAAGTGAATGTGTATCTCTGGGGAAAGGTTTCATTTAGAGAAAAAAAAAAAAAAAAGGTGAACTTTATTTGACCATAGCAGAAAAAAAAATGTAAATCTCTGAATATAAACACAAAAAGATTAAAACTGCTCTGAACATGGACTGTAACAGCAGAGAAGGCATTGTCAATAAAACAGCAAATAGCTACTCTTCCTAATAGGTAGAGAACTCATACGTTGGTAAGACCAAGACTAAGAACCAAATTGGAGGAACACTGTTTGCAAAACAGGAGATACGAATGGTATCCACACATTCTTCACCCGGAAATCCAAGAAACGCAATTTGTGTTTTAATTACTATTTTAATGACCTTGTTGTTTCTGTCACTACACTTTTTTTTTTTTTTTTTTAGTGGTTGCCCTAGGGATTACAATTAACATCTTAATTTTAGCCTCGTTGGAACTGATGCCAACTTGCTTTCAATAGCATAAAAAAGCTTTGCTTCTATGTGGTTTCCATTGCCTCTCGTTCCTCTGTGCTGTTACACGTCTGTATCCATGATGAGCCCATCCACGCAGATTTATAATGACCGCCTTATTCAATTATCTTTTAAGTCAAATAGGAGGGAAAAATGGGTTACAAACAAAAAGTACATACACACTGTCTGCCTTTTATATTTACTGATGTAGTTACCTTTACCCATGGTTTTATTTCTTCATGTGGCTTTGACTTCTTGTCTAACATCTTTCATTTACAGCAGAAGGACTCCCTTTAGTATTTATTGTAGGGCAGTTCTGCTAGTGATGAATTCTCTCAGTTTTTGTTGACTTCAGAGTCTCTTAATTTCTCCTTCATTTTTTGAAAGTTCTGCTCAACGTAGGGTTCTTGACTGGCGGTCGTTTCTCTGAACACTTTGAACTTGTCAGCCCATGGCCTCCGTGGTTTCTGCTGAGTAGCTTCTGTCTTGCCTCTTCCCAGATTCTCTGTCTTTGGCCTTTGAAGTCCCGATGGTGTGTCTAGGTGTAGATCTCTGAGTTTATCTTACTGGGAGTTTGTTGAGCTTCTTGGACGTATGCATTGATGTTTTTCATCAAACTTGGGCGGTTTTTCAGCCATTACTTCATAAAATATTTTTTCTGCCCCTTTCTGTCTTCTACTCTGGGACTTCCGTTCCACACATTGGTATGCTTGACGGTGCCCAGGGGTCTTTGCAGCTCTGTTGACTCCTTCCTCGTTGTGTTTTCTTTCTGTTCTTCAGACTGCTTAGTCTGACTGCCCTGTCTTCAAGGTCACTGATTCTTTTTTCCACCAGTTCTCATCTGCTGTTGAGCCCCTCTAGTGAACTTCTCATTTTAGTTGCTCTCTTTTCAACTCCAGAATTTCTGTTTCATTCCTTTACGTTTCTCTCGTTAAGGATATTCCCTATCTGGTGAGTCATGTTCTCACACTTTCCTTTAGTTCTTCAGACACGGTTTCGCTGAGCTCTTTGAACACATTTAAAGTAGCTGACGTAAACTCTTTGTCTAGTAAGTCCAATGTCTGGGCTTCTCTAGGGACAATTTTTATTAACTACTGTCCCCCCATCTGTGGGCCATACTTTCTTGTTTCTTTGCGTGTCTCATACATTTTTGTTTCAGACTGGACATTTTAAACGCAGCTGCTGTGGTCATCAGATTCCCCATCCCCCTCAGGTCTCGTTGCTATTGCTGATTGTTTTGTGACTTTCTTGAGCTAATTCCATAAGGTCTGTGTTCTTCATTGTGTGTGGCCACCAAAGTCTCTGCTTGACTAGCTTAGTGGACAGCCAATAATTGGTCAGATATCCTTCACAGATGGCATCCGTGAGTCTCCCAGCCTTTGCTGGGGCGAGGTGGGGAGCACCGTCAACACTTAGCTAGGCCAAGGATTCTTGCTGTTCTTACAAAGATTCAGCCATTTTGTTAAATACATGCTCCCCAGATGGCTGCAAACCCTTGGTTAGTTTCAAGAGTCCTAAAAATGTCAACTCTGACCATTTTTGCCGATGTTCCTGTTTTCACAGAGGAGAGGATCTTGAGAGGGGCTTACTCCACCATCTTCACTGACATCACTCCAAGAAATGTATTTTGCAAGAAATATTTTGAAGCAGAAAGACACCATTTATTTTGCCCATGAATTAGAATACATTAGAGAAAATAAGACTATCCCTTGCTGGCAAGAACACAGTGACACAGTAGGGTGGAATATAAATTGGCACATTTGTGGAAAGCAACAGTACATATCAGTCAATGTTTTTGAGATTCACATTGATGCGTTAATTTTACAAATAGAAATAGGGCCTAAAGAAGTCACCTCAAAAGGCATGAACGCTCCATGAATGTATCCATGCAGGGATCATAGCTGAGCACTGGATGCCCCCTGCACGTCCGGGGGCAGGAAACAGGACAGGGCAGAGCTGCGTCACAGGGCAGGACAGTCTCCGTTAGACGGAGAATCCTCCGTAGAGCTGCTTGCACATGTACATTCATCTTTTTGTCAGATGTTAATTCAAGTTGCCTTTGGTTGTGGGACTGGGAGGATCTTTTCTCTTTGTTGATACTTTTTCGTACTTTCCAAATACTTGACTGATGAGCACATGCTGCCTTGGTTACCGGAGGATAAGTGAGCGAGCAAAGTGAGGCCAGTGCTGTGTCCATCCTGGTGCCTCAAGCACAAGCCCCTATTCCTGCCCTGAGCCCAGCTGCCGGCATGTCCGGGGAGAAGGCTTCTCCCAGCTCCGGCATTGACTTCTATCTGCTGGAATCATCCCTGCCCGTCTGACCTGAGTCCTCCAAGTCCTCCGGCACCTTGAGCTCCAGAGAGCAGAATTCAGCCTCTTCCTGTGCCTCCCCAGGGTGGGCATATGAGCCAGCCCCATCCCATTCATCACCCGTATGCCTGTGTGCCCATCCCCCTTGCAGGTTCCCCAAGGACTCTAGCACCTGGACTGTGGACCACCAGCTCCTGTGGGGGGAGGCCCTGCTCATCACCCCAGTGCTCCAGGCCGGGAAGGCCGAAGTGACTGGCTACTTCCCCTTGGGCACATGGTACGACCTGCAGACGGTGAGTCTGGGGACCCTAAGCCCTGGGGAGACGGGAGACCAGAGCAGCCCTCCCACCTGCCCCCTCCACCCAGTTGGTGTGACCAGGTGGCGGAAAGAGGAACGTATGTGTTGAGTCCCGGCCATGTGCCAGGCCCCCACCCGGCTGCTCCGCACCCATCAGCCTCTCCGCTCCTCACACCATCCCCATTTCCCAGATGAGCAGACTGAGGCCTGCTTGCAGAACCTGGCCAAGTCCCACGGCCATCACAGGCTGTGCCTGTGCTGAGCTGGCATACCCAGGCCTCTCAGGCACTGTCCCCACTCAGTAGCCAGGAGGGTCCCTACCTACAGTGAGCCCTGAGTCTGCGCCTGAAGTCACAGTTCAGCCCGTCTGTGCCAGGCCTCCTAGGCCTCCACGTGGAGCCCCGGGAGATGGAGAGCGTGGTTCCTGAGGACAGCATGGGGGCCTCGGCACGGCCCAGAATCCTCAAAGCAACATCTCCCTCCAGGTGCCAGTAGAGGCCCTTGGCAGCCTCCCACCCCCACCTGCAGCTCCCCGTGAGCCAGCCATCCACAGCGAGGGGCAGTGGGTGACGCTGCCGGCCCCCCTGGACACCATCAACGTCCACCTCCGGGCTGGGTACATCATCCCCCTGCAGGTACCTGGGCCAGGCGGCTATGGTGGGGGTGTGGACAGCACACTGCAGAGCTGGGGGAGGCACAGGGAGATGGTGGGGGAGAGGCCCAGGTGGGGCTTCTGAGGGGCCGCCCCCCGCAGTGTAGGTTATCAAGGAGCCAGCCAGGCCAGTGAGGTGGGGAGGGCACAGCCCCACAAAGGCGTGGAGCATGGCCGGCAGGAGCTCAGTGGTCTGCATGGTGGAGGTTCTGCCGGGCCCGGCCTCGGGCAGCCGTGGGATAGCACTTGAGGTGGGGAAGGTCTTGGGTCATCACCACGGGGTTCCAGCCCCTGCGGCCGCAGGTGTTCCTGCAGATCCTAGTTACTGGCAGCCTGGTGCTGTACCAGCCTAGCATTCCCGGGCCCTGGAGGCCTCCACCTCCACCAGGGTGGGGATGATGACATCACGTGTCCTTCCCTTTCCAGGGCCCTGGCCTCACAACCACAGAGTCCCGCCAGCAGCCCATGGCCCTGGCTGTGGCCCTGACCAAGGGTGGGGAGGCCCGAGGGGAGCTGTTCTGGGACGATGGAGAGAGCCTGGAAGTGCTGGAGCGAGGGGCCTACACACAGGTCATCTTCCTGGCCAGGAATGTGAGTCCTGGGGCTGCTCAGGCTGGTGGGCAGGGGCCGGCTCGGGGTTGAGAAGGGGTGAGGGGACCTGGGCTTGGGGGTCCCACGATGGCTACCTGCCACTAGGACACTCTAGCAGGTGGCCTGGGGTCCTAGAGTGAGCAGTGGGGCCGTGCACTCTGCCCTTTCGTGTACACAGAGGGAGGTCACCTCCCTGATGCCATCATGAGTCCCTGTTCTCATGGGTGTTCCTGCCCCAGCTGTCTGCTGACACCTCCACATTCTCTGCCTTTTCATCTCTCTCTGCTCGGCCCAGAACACGATCGTGAATGAGCTGGTACGTGTGACCAGTGAGGGAGCTGGCCTGCAGCTGCAGAAGGTGACTGTCCTGGGCGTGGCCACGGCGCCCCAGCAGGTCCTCTCCAACGGTGTCCCTGTCTCCAACTTCACCTACAGCCCCGACACCAAGGCAAGAGGGCCCAGAGTGGCACAGGGATCGCGTCCCCCAGCCGTGGTGCAGGGGGCAGAAGGTGCTGGGCGTCCTGGTGACCGATGCCAGGAACAGAGGATGCTGGGACCTCCCAAGGGGGTCTTTGGGGAGGAGTGGGAAGGGTCAGGCCACACAGGCTGTGCCTTTCCTCCTCCTGTGTCTACACGTGGGTGATGGGGCCACAATGACGACCTCTGAGCCGTGTTGAAGCAGCACCGCGTTTCTGGCGTGCGTTAAGGTGACCCGCACTGAGAGCCGGGGTCCCCCTGCGCCTGCCGGGGAGGAACCGGGTGCGAAGCATCCCAGGGCCAGACGGAGCTGCCCCCTGAGCGCCGGGCCTCGCTGCTGCTGGGATCTCGGGGCCAGATGGAGCCGCCTTCTGAGCGCTGGGGTCTCACTGCTGCTGGGATCTCGGGCTGCTCCATTTGTGCTCTCTCTTTTCCAGGTCCTGGACATCTGTGTCTCGCTGTTGATGGGAGAGCAGTTTCTCGTCAGCTGGTGTTAGCCGGGCGGAGTGTGTTAGTCTCTCCAGAGGGAGGCTGGTTCCCCAGGGAAGCAGAGCCTGTGTGCGGGCAGCAGCTGTGTGCGGGCCTGGGGGTTGCATGTGTCACCTGGAGCTGGGCACTAACCATTCCAAGCCGCCGCATCGCTTGTTTCCACCTCCTGGGCCGGGGCTCTGGCCCCCAACGTGTCTAGGAGAGCTTTCTCCCTAGATCGCACTGTGGGCCGGGGCCCTGGAGGGCTGCTCTGTGTTAATAAGATTGTAAGGTTTGCCCTCCTCACCTGTTGCCGGCATGCGGGTAGTATTAGCCACCCCCCTCCATCTGTTCCCAGCACCGGAGAAGGGGGTGCTCAGGTGGAGGTGTGGGGTATGCACCTGAGCTCCTGCTTCGCGCCTGCTGCTCTGCCCCAACGCGACCGCTGCCCGGCTGCCCAGAGGGCTGGATGCCTGCCGGTCCCCGAGCAAGCCTGGGAACTCAGGAAAATTCACAGGACTTGGGAGATTCTAAATCTTAAGTGCAATTATTTTTAATAAAAGGGGCATTTGGAATCAGCTTCTGCGGGTCTCTCTGGGATTCAGGGCAGGGAGGATGTATCCAGGGGCCCTGGAACAGAGGCAGCTCCTTTGTCCTCAGCAGGCCCCCAGACATTCCCACAGTGGGTGTGCGCCGTCCTCTGTCTCAAGCCGGCATCCATCACGTCATGTTCCCATGTCACGAGGCCTGACATCACCTCATGTCCTGTCCCCATCTCACCTCACATCCCGTCACCTCATGTCCCCGCATCACCTAAAGCCCCATGTCACCTTTGTGTCCCATACCCCCATCTCACATGCCTACCTCATGTCCCCATGTCACCTTCACGTCCCATCTCACCTCACCTCCCCTCCCCACCCCACCTCACCTCCCCTCCCCTCCTCCCCTCCCCTCCTCACCTGACCTCCCCTCCCCACGTCACCTCCCTTCCCCTCCCCACCTCACCTCCCCTCCCCACCTCCCCTCCCCTCCCCTCCCCACCCCACCTCACCTCCCCTCCCCTTCCCATGTCACCTCCCTTCCCCTCCCCACCTCCCCTCCCCTCCACTCCTCACCTACCCTCCCCATGTCACCTCCCCTTCCCTCCCCACCTCCCCTCCCACCCCACCTCCCTTCCCCTCCCCTCCTCACCTGACCTCCCCTTCCCATGTCACCTCTCCTCCCCTCCCAACCTCCCGTCCCCATCCCACTTCACCTCCCCTCCTCACCTGACCTCCCCTCCCTATGTCATCTCTCCTCCCCTCCCACCGCACCTCCCCTCCCCTCCTCCCCTCCCCTCCTCCCCTCACCTGACCTCCCCTCCCTACCCCACCTCACCCCCTCTCCCCTCCTCACCTCCTCTCCTCCTCTCCCCATTCATCCTCACACTCCTGCTTCCCCCATCTCTAAGGTGACTGGGGAATGTCCAGTGGGTGTTAGGCATGTGGTGGGAGTGTGGCCCCCAGGGCTGTGTAGACAACAGGACCCTGCAAGGAAGGGGCTTTCCAACAGTGGGGCCTAAGACTTTAGGCAGAGGCCAGAAATCTGTCCCCAAGTGATGCAGTTAGAGAGGATTTCAGGCCCAGGTTCTCCCTGGCAAGCCCAGAGAAAGGGAAAGAAGCCCATTTTATTGAAATAACAGCAGGAGAAATCACTGCCCTTAGCCAGTCAGACGCTTCAGTTTATCACTTAGAATTAATGCAGTGGCTCACACCTGTAATCCCAGCACTTTGGGAAGTCCAGGCGGGCAGCTCACTTGAGGTCAAGAGTTTGAGAGCAGCCTGGCCAACATGGTGAAACCCCATCTCTACTAAAAATACAAAATTAAGGCCAGGCGCAGTGGCTCACGCCTGTAATCCCAGCACTTTGGGAGGCTGAGGCAGGCGGATCACGAGGTCAAGAGATGGAGACCATCCTGGCTAACATGGTGAAACCCCGTCTCTACTGAAAATACAAAAATTAGCTGGGTGTGGTGGCACACACCTGTAGTCCCAGCTACTTGGTCTCGCAAGGCTGAGGCAGGAGAATCGCTTGAACCCGGGAGGCGGAGGTTGCAGTGAGCCGAGATAGCACCACTGCACTCCAGCCTGATGACAGGGCGAGACTGTCTCAAAAAAAAAAAAAATTAGGCATGGTGGTGTGTGCCTGTAGTCCCAGCTACTCAGAAGGCTGAGGCACAAGAATCACTTGAACCCGGGAGGCAGAGGTTGTAGTGAGCCAAGATCGTGCCACTGCACTCCAGCCTGGGCGACAGAGTGAGACTCCATCTCAAAAAAAAAAAAAAAAAGGCCAGGCGCGGTGGCTCATGCCTGCAATTCCAGCACTTTGGTAGGCCAAGGCAGGCGGATCACGAGGCCAGGAGTCCGAGACCAGCCTGACCAACGTGGCAAAACCCCATCTCTACTAAAAATACAAAAATTAGCTGGGTGTGGTGGCACGCGCCTGTAATCTTAGCTACTCAGGAGGCTGAGGAAGGAGAATTGCTTGAATCTGGGAGGCGGAGGCTGCAGTGAGCTGAGATCACGCCACTGCAGTCCAGCCTGGGCGACAGAGTGAGACTCCATCTCAAAAAAAAAACAAAAGAAGTGGCCAACCCCGAAGTCCTCTGCAGAGCGATGGATTACTTTTGCCACCTTCCTGAAAACCAGGAGCAGAAAGTACAGTGACTTCCCCGTGGAGCAGCATGACATCCCTGGGGGGCAGTGTGTCTACCTGGGTGACCAGCACTATTGTCTTCTGGGTCAGCTTTTGTAGAAGCGGACACTGCTCTTCTGCCATGTCACAGGCCAGGGCCTGACCCCCGTGTGCCACTTTTACCATCCAGATTGACATCACTAAGTCATCTCGCGCCCTAAAGTTCCTCTGTAAGGTGGACGTAGTAGTGACAATAACATATGTTACTTCCTCCCCTCATCCTAGTCCCATGTGGGGTTAAGAAGCAGGAATGTTTGTCTTGAGGCCAGCAGCGTGCCTGGTCTCGGTGCTGAGGGCGACCTGCCCTAACGCTCTGCCAGGCTCGCCAGGTCTGCAGTTGACACCCAAGACGTTCAGGGAGGGTTGATGGAGCGTGGTAGCCTCGGCCAGCCTGGACCGACCATCAGCGTCCTCACCTTCTGTGCCACCGCCCAGCCTGGCAGGGCCACTGTAGCCTTAGCCCCTTGTAGGATCTGACCCTTCCTTGGCTGCTGTAACGAAATACCCAAGACTGGGTAATTTATAAACAACAGAAATGGATTTCTCACAGGGCTGGAGGCTGGGAAGTCCAAGATCGAGGCAGGTTCTGTGTCTGGTGAGGGCTGCTGTCTGTATCATAAATGGCGCACTCTCCATCATCGTGGTAGAAGGCGAAGACAAGCTCCCTTGAGCGCTAAATGCCACTGATGAGGATGGAGGGCCCTCAGGACTCATCACCTCCCAACAGCCCCACCACTTTTTTTTTTTTTTTTTTTTTGAGACCGAGTTTCACTCTTGTCACCCAGGCTGTAGTGCAATGGTGCAATCTTGGCTTATTGCAACCTCTGCCTCCCAGGTTCAAGTGATTCTCCTGCCTCAGCCTCCCGAGGAGCTAGGATTACAGGCATCCGCCACCATGCCTGGCTAATTGGATCTTTAGTTGTATTTGTATTTTAGTTTATTTGTATTTTAATTGAGATGGGATTTCACCATGCTGGCCAGGCTGGTCTTGAACTCCTGACCTCAGGTTATCTGCCTGCCTCAGCCTCTCAAAGTGCTGGGATTACAAGCATGAGGCACTATGTCCGGCCAGCCCCACCTCTTAAAACCATGTCATTGGGGATTAGGTTTCAACAGGAATTTGGGGCGGGGGCAAACCTTCAGACCATAGGACAGGGCTATCAGGAGTCCTGAGTGAGGAGGTTGGCATGGGGTGGGACAGTGCTCCCTGTGTGGGAAGGGACAGGGTCGGAGGGGGGAGAGGAGTTGTTTCCATCCTCTGAGAGGCCAGGGGTCTCCTCAGGGTGGTCCAAACGGTACAGCCCATTACATGGGACGCTGGCCTGTGGGCACCTCAAGGCAGCTTCATCTGTTTCTCACCAGTGCCTGATACAGGCCCTGCCTCAGTGGGACCCTATTGAACTTAGGTGAATTTTAAAGCAATAGGCCAGGTGTGGTGGCTCACGCCTGTAATCCCAGTACTTTGGGAGGCCTAGGTGGGCGGATCACCTGAGGTTGGGAGTTTGAGACCAGCCTGACCAACATGGAGAAACCCTGTCTCTACTAAAAATACAAAATTAGCCAGGTGTGGTGGTGCATGCCTGTAATCCCAGCTACTCAGGAGGCTGAGACAGGAGAATCATTTGAACCCGGGAGGCGGAGGTTGTGGTGAGCCGAGATCACGCCACTGCACTCCAGCCTAGGCAACAAGAGCGAAAGTCCATCTCAAATAAAAATAAAGCAATGTGGATGTGGACCCCAGGCAGCCTTGTAGCGGAGACGTCTTAGTGCCGGGGAGCGTTCAAGCTGGCACCCTCCGCCCTGGGAGAAGACATCCTGGGGGTCTCGTGGCTCAGCCCTCTCATATCTCTCCCAGCTCAGCCTCTAAAACAAGGCCTGCTGTTGGTGACAAAACGCTCTTGGCTCATGTTCTGGGCAATGAGTCACTGCGTGTGGCTGGGCCAGCTTCACAGGTGTGACCCATGCAGGCCCACAGGCCCCGAGCTCAGCAGGCTGCAGCTGGGTTTAATGCTCCACGGTCACCATCTTGAAATTGTGAATAACTTTTGAACAAGGGGCCCCACAGCCTTTCATTTTGTGACGGGCCCTCGGCAAATTCTGCGGCTGGTCCTGCAAGGGGTGGTGCGTTCTCTCCCGTTTACGTTGGTATAGATGAATATAAACGCTTCCTTTCTTTCCTTGCCTGGTGGGGAATGGATCAGAAAGCCAGGGCTGATGATAGAAACCAGCAGAGAATCTCCAAGTGTAAGACATTAGTCAAAGGCCCGGCGTGGAGCCCACAGGTCCTTAGCGTTCGGAAGACGATTGCCTTCCCAGCCCACTCCAAGGAAGAATCAGTGCTGTCTGGCAGCAGCCTCCAGGTGTGTCTCCACAAAGGCCCAGCTTTCCTTTTTGCAAATCAATGACATCAATAATCCGTTACATGGCCTGCAGAGAAGCCCTCTGGCGGCCACTGTGGGGCCCTGTGGGCCTTATGCCTGCTCTTCCTGATCTGGTGGAGGCTCAGAGAGGAGCTAGGACAAGGGATGGTGCCCCTATACCACCCCACCCCCACATACGTGCCTGCAGAAGGCCACATGACCAGGATTATGGTGGGTGAGGGCCAGAGGGAAGGCCCAGGTGAGAGGGTGGAATGTGAACAGGCTGGTTATTTGCGTGCCAGGGACAAGAGAGAAAAAAGCTCAGCATTAGCAGAGAAGACGGACTTCTGCGGTGGCACCTACAGCTGTTCCCTTGGCCTCCCAAACAACCCAGGTGTGACGTCGGGAACCGGGAATGCAGGCAACAGAGTGATTCCAGCTGCCTCACAAGGAAGAGGGTGTGTGGGAAGAGCAGAGCATCCGGGCTGGAAGCACAGTCAGAACCATGCGTGCAGCCGGACACTCATTGTTCTTCCCCACGTGTGCTGGGCACCCGCTCTGCGTCAGGCTCTGTTCCAGGAGTTGGGTGAAACGGTGACTGAAATAGACAGAACTCCTGTCGGTGATGCCCACGTGAGAGAATATAATCAATGGACAATGCACCGCACATATTTAAAATGTGCAAATTGATCCGTTTTGACATGTGAATGTCTGTGAACCAGCTCTACAGTTAAGATGGTGACCATCTCCATCACCCTCAAAGTCTCCAGCTACCCACTGACTGGAAACCACTGGTATGTTTTTTGTCAAAATATATTTCTTTGTATTTTATAGAATTTTGTATAAAGGGGAATTTTTTTGTCACACACTACTCAACATAATTTCTTTGAGATTTATCCATCAATAACTCATCCTTTTTGGTTGCTAAATAGTTTTCCACTGTATGCAAATGCCACCATTTCTTTATCTGTCCTTTATGGATATCAGAATTGTTTTTGATTTTTTTGTTTGTTTGTTTAAAGACAGGGTCTTGGCTGCGCGTGGTGGCTCACGCCTGTAATCCCAGCACTTTGGGAGGCTGAGGCAGGCAGATCACCTGAGGTCAGGAGTTCACGGCTAGCCTGGCCAACATGGGGAAACCCCATCTCTACTAAAAATACAAAAATTAGCCGGGCGTGGTGGTGGGCGCCTGTAATCCCAGCTACTTGGGAGGCTGAGGCAGGAGAATTGCTTGAATCCAGGAGGCGGAGTTTGCTGTGAGCCGAGATCGTGCCATTGCACTCCAGCGTGGACAACAGAGCGAGACTCCATCTCAAAAAACAAAACAAAACAAAAACAGGGTCTTGCTCTGTCACCCAAGCAGGAATGCAGTGGCACCATCATAGCTCACCATAGCCTCAACCTCATGGGTTTAATTGATCCTCCCACCTCAGCCTCCTGAGCAGCTGGGACTACAGGCATGCACCAACACATGTGGCTAATTTTTAAAATATTTTGTAGAGATGGTGTCTCACTGTGTTTCCCAGGCTTGTCTGGAACTCCTGGCCTCAGGTCATCCTCCTGCCTTGGCCTCTGAAAGTGCTGGGATTACAAACGAGGGCCATCACCCTCAGCCCCTCTCTGCAATTTTTGGCTATTATGAATAAAGCTGCTATGAGCAGTCATGGACAAGTCTTTGACATTATTTTGTTTCTCTTGGGCAAATAGCAAGGATGATGTGGTCAGTTCATACGGGAGGTAAACTATTCATTGTTTAAGAGGCTGCCAAACTGTTTCCAAATCGCTGCACCATTCTGCATTCCTCCCGACTGTGCAGGGGAGTTGGCAGGGGCTGCGTATCCGGGCCAGCATTGGCGTGGTCTGTTTCCTTTTAGCCATTCTAGTGACTGTGTATCTCACTGTGGCTCTTACACTCCCCTAATGACTACTGATGTTGAACATCTTTTCACCCACTTATCTGTCAGCCATAAATCTTCTTTGGTAAAGTGTCTGTTCGCCTCTTTTGCCCATTGTTAAACTGGGTCGTTCCTTATTATAGAGTTATAACATACGTCAATTTTCTAGTGCTGCCGTAACACATGACCACAGTTTGAGGGAATTAAAATAACACAAATGTATTTCATCACAGTTCCATAGGTCAGAAATTTGATACAAGGGCTCTCCTGGCTGAAATCGGGGTGTCAGCAGGGCTGCCTTCCTTTCCAGAAGCTCCAGGGGAGAATCCGTCTCCTTGCCCACATGGGCTACTGGCAGAATTGTTTCATGCAGTTGTAGCACTGAGGTCTCTGTTTCCCTTCTGTCAGTCAGAGGTCCTTCTCAGCCTACAGAGGCTTCCCCCATATCTTGGCTCATGCCTTTTTCAACCCCAGAAATGAGGGACTTGAGTCCCTCTCATGCCTGTCCTTCCTTCCATCACATCATTCTCTGACCAACCATAGCCAAAGAATAGTCTTGACTTTTAAGGGCTCATGAGATTAGATTGTGTCCACCTAGATTATCCAGGATCCCCCATCCAAGATCCTGCACTTACTTCTGCAAAGTCCCTATTGTCATGTAATGTGACATATTCACAAGGTCCAGAGATTTGGACCTGGCAATCTTTGAGGACAGTTATTCTACCTACCACATAAAGCTTCTTTATTGGGCCAGTGTGGTGGCTCCTGCCTGTAATCCCAACACTGGGAGACCGGGACAGGAGGAGTTCTTGAGCAGGAGTTAGAGACCAGCCTGGGCAACACAGCAAGACCCCATCTCTACAAAAAGCAAAAAATTAGGCCGGGCGCGGTGGCTCACGCCTGTAATCCCAGCACTTTGGGAGGCCGAGGCGGGTGGATCACGAGGTCAGGAGATCGAGACCGTCCTGGCTAACACGGTGAAACCCCGTCTCTACTAAAAATACAAAAAATTAGCCGGGCGTGGTGGCGGCTGCCTGTAGTCCCAGCTACTCGGGAGGCTGGGGCAGGAGAATGGTGTGAACCCGGGAGGTGGAGCTTGCAGTGAGCTGAGATCGTGCCACTGCACTCCAGCCTGGGTGACAGAGTGAGACTCTGTCTCAAAATAAATAAATTTAAAAACTAAAAATAAAAAAATAAAAAATTAGATGCATGCAGCAGCACATGCCTGTGGTTCCAGCTACTAAGGAGGCTAAGGTGGAAGGATTCCTTGATCTCAGGAGGTCGAGGCTGCTGTAAGCTATAACTGTGGCCACTGCACTCCAGTGTGGGTGACAGAGCTGGACTATCTCAAAAACACACACACACACACACACACACACACACACACACACACAACCAAAAATCATTATGCTTTCCCCATAAAACTGCTTAAGTGCCTTTGTTGGAAATCCATTGACCATAAATGTGTAGTCTTTCTGAACTTTCTACTGTTTTCCCTGGATCTACAACAGGTCTATATTTATGACTATACCACACTGCCTTTGCTACTGTAGCTTTATAATATTTCTTGGTATGAGTAGTAGCTTGGTGCACTTTTCCAAAGTTGTTTTGGCTATGCTAGATCCTTTGTATTTTCATATAACTTCTAGAACTAGCTTGTCAATGTTTAGCCCTATCCCCACTCTCCCAAAAAAGGCTTCCTGATATTTTGGTTGGAATTGTGTTGAGTCTGTACATCAACCTGGGGAGAACTGATGTCTTAACAATATCGACTCTTCCAATCTGCTCAGTGTATCTCTCATTTATTTACATCTTTAATTCTCACAGCAACGTTTTGTAGCTTTCAATTACAGAGCTTGCTCATCTTTTGTCAAATATACCCCCAAGTATTTCATGTATTTGATGGTACTGTATATGGTGGTGTTTTCCAAATTTCCCATTCCAAGTGTTCATTCCTGGCATATAGGAATACAACTGACTCTTCTATATTGACTTTGTAGAATGCTACCTTCCCGAAACTCAATTATTAGTTCCAGTAGCTTTGTGGTAGACTCCTTAGGATTTTCTACATAGAGAAACATATAATCTGTGAAGAAAGCCTTCTTCCTTTCCACCCTGGAGGCCTTTTCTTTCTCTTGCCTTGTTGCACTGGCCAGAATCCACAGTGTAATATTGAACAGAAGGGAGAGGACACCTGTGCCTTGTTCCTGAGAGGGTTACTGAAAGCCCCAATTGCCACTGTGGATTTGTCTATTTCCCCTTGCAGTTTTATCCATTTTTCCTTCCTATATTTCCTGTATTTTGAAGCTGTTATTAGGTGCATAGGTATTTAGTATTGTTATATCCTTTTAATGAATTACCCCTTTATCATTATCAAATGACTCTCTTTGTCCCTTGCAATATTCTTTGCTCTGAGATCTCCTTTGTCTAATATTAATAGAGCTGCTTCAGGTTTATTTTGATGTGTGCGTTACCATGGTGTATTTTTCTCCATCTTTTCACTTTTGTCTTTATATTTCTCATAAGCAATAGTATATAGTTGTGTATGGCTTTATAATCCAGCCTAACAATATCTGTCTTTTAATTTTGCAGTAGGCAATTTGCTTGTTTTCCCTTGCTCGTGCTTTTTGCTTTTTAAGTGTAATTTTAGAGGATGCATGAGATTCCTCATGATATTTGTGCTGAGATGTAATTCACATGCCATAACATTTACCATTTTAAAGTATGCAATTCAGTTGTTAGTACACTTGTACAACCATCACGATTATCTAATTCCAGAACATTAGAATCACCTTCAAAAGAAACCCTATACTCATTTTCAGCCACTCCTTGTTTCACCCATCCCCCTCCTCCCCCCTCAAGCTCCTGAAACCACTGTGAATGGTTTCCTGCTAATCTCTCTATGGATCTACCTGTTCAGGACGTTTCATGTAAATGGAATCACACCACGTGTGGCCTTTTGTGTCTGCCTTCTTCCACCTAGCATATTGCCGAGGTTCATCCAGGTTGTAGTGTGTCAGCACTTCATGCCTTTTTATTGCCAAGTAATATTGTGTGGATTCACCAGTTTTGCTTACAGCTGATGAACATCTGGCTTGTGTCCACTTTTTGGCTCTTATGAACAATGCTATGAACACATTAGGTTTATGTGTGCAGATTTTTTAATTCTCTTGAGTATAGACCTAGGAGGAGAATTGCTAGGTCAACTCCTATGTTCAACATTTTGAGGAACTGCCAAGCTGTTTTCCATAAAGGCTGTGCCTGTTTACAATCCCACTAGCAATGTATGGGGGTTCCAGTTTCTCCACATTCTCCTAAACACTGCAGAGCAGTATATTAGTCCATTTTCATATTGCTATAAAGAACTGCCTGAGCCCGGGTGCTTTAAAAAGGAAAGAAGTTTAATTGACTCACAGTTCAGTGTGGCTGGGGAGACCTCAGGAAACTTACAATCATGGTGGAAGGCGAAGACGAAGCAGGAACCTTTTTCACAAGGTGGCAAGAAGTGCCAAGTGAAGTGGGAAGAGCCCCTTATAAAACCATCAGATCTTGTGAGAACTCACTATCACAAGAATAGCATGGGGGGAACTGCTCCCATGATTCAATTACCTCCACCTTGTCTGTCCCTTGACATGTGGGGATTAGGGGGATTACAATTCAAGATGAGATCTGGGTGGAGGCACAAAGCCTAACTAACTATATCAATCAGTTTGGGAAAGTTATCTTCCAATCCATGAACCTGGGACATTTATATATTTAGGTTTGCAATGCCTTTCAACAAGCTATTTGTAGTTTTCGGTGAACAAGTATAGCCCTTCTTTTGTTAAATTTATTCCTACATATTTCACTCTTTTTGATGCAATTGTAAATGGAATTATTTTCTTAATTTCATTTTCAGGTTGTTCAGACTGCTAGTGTACAGAAACACTGGCTTTCCTATGTTGAACATATATTCTGCAACCTTGCTGACCTCATTTATAAGTTCTGATAAGTGATTTTTTAAATGTGTAAATTCCTTAAGATTTTCTAGGTATAAATCATGTCATCCGTGACTAGAGAGTTTTGATTCTTCCTTTCCGATCTGGATGCCTTATTTCTTTTCTTGCTTAATTGTCCTGGCTCGTAACTTCCAGTACAATGTTGGAATAGACGTGGCAAGAGCATTCTTGTTTTGTTCCCAACCTTAGCGGGTAATGCTGTGGTTTTTCATCGATGCTGTTTATCAGGTTGAAGCAGCCCCCTTCCATTCTTATTTTCTATCTTGAAAAGGTGCTGGATTTTGTCCAATGCTTTTTCTGCATCTGTAAATCATTATGTGGACTTTGTCCTTTATTCTATTGATAGGGTGTATTACATTGACAGATTTTTGGATATTAAACCAACTTTCCATTCCTGCGATAAATCCCACTTTGTCAGTGTACAATCCTTTTTATATGTTGCTGGATTTGTTTTGCCAGTTTTTTGAGGATTTTTACATCTATATTCATATGATATTGATCTAGTTTTTTTTGTGGTAGCTTTGTTTTGGTATCAGGTAATGCTGGCCTCAGGGTGAGTTGGGAAATGTTCTGCCTTATATTTTTTGAAAGATTTCGTGATCCAGCACTTTGGGAATCTGACGGGGGCAGATCACAAGATCAGGAGTTTGAGATCAGCCCGGCCAACACAGTAAAACGCCGTCTCTACTAAAAATACAAAAAATTAACCAGATGTGGTGGCAGGCACCTGTAATCCTAGCTACTGGGAGGCTGAGGCAAGGGAATCACTTGAACCCAGGAGGCGGAGGTTGCAGCAAGCCAAGATTGTGCCACTGCACACCAGCCCAGGCAACAGTGTGAGACTCTGCGTCAAAAAAAAAAAAAAATTGTGATGGTGATAATTCTGTAAAAGTTTGGCAGGATTCACAAGCCTTGGCTTTCCTTTGTTGAAAGTTTGGTTACTGATTTAATCTGTTTGTCCTAGGAATTTCTCCATTTTATCAAGGTTCATCTGTTGGCAAACAATCCATGGCACTGATACTTTGTATTCTGTACAGTCGGCTGTGCCATCACCTCTTTCATTCTTGATTTTAGTTATTTGAACCTATTTTTCCTTAGACTTGCTAAAGATGTGTCAATTTTGTTGATCTTTTCAAAGAATGAACCGTTGGTTTTGTTGATTTTCTCTATTATTTTTCTATTCATTTATTTCTACTCTCATCTTTATTATTTCCTTTCTTCTGCTTCCTTTGGGTTTAGCTTGCTTTTCTTTTAGTTTGAGGTGAGACAGACAATCTGCAATAAATGTAATTATTGACACGGTTGTTTTCAACCTACTACCGTTTTGTATTTGTCCATCTCGTAAGTTCTCTGTTCCCTTTTCCTTCCTTTTCAGGATTCTTAGATTAAGTATTCCTTAGAACTCTTATTTTGTCTCCTACGTTGGCTGTTTATTTCTGTTTCACATTTTTGTATTGCTTTAAAGGTTCATACCTAAAAATTGCTTAACACTTTTATATATGTTTCACATCTTTAATTCATCACAATCTGCCTTCAAGTAATAGTGTAAGAATCTTGACAGTATACTTCCATTACTCCTTTCTTCGGTGCTGTGCTATTTTCGTCATACATTTTATGTCTATGTATTATTTTAAACAATCTTACTACAAAGAAACATGCCAACAGCATCAACATTACCATTCTATTTCTATACTTTAGACATACCTCAAAGGGTCAGGACACTCTAGCTCTTGGTTAGAACCCTTTTTATGTGGTTTTTCTTTTAGGAAAATTGCCTGGCTTTAAGACAAGGCATCCTATATGTATTTGTTGAATAAATTTCAACCACCCAAAAAAAAAAAACAAAACAAAAAAAAAAAAAATATACCATTAGGAGTATAAATTGGTGGAAAATCTTTCTGCAACGTTAATTTGAAACATGTACCTTGATCAAGAAAATCACTTCTAAAGATTATTCTGGGTGGGCACAGTGGCTCATGCCTAATCCCAGCACTTTGGGAGACCAAGGCAGGAGGATCACGTGAGGTCAGGAATTTGAGACCAGCCTGGCCAACATGGTGAAACCCCAACTCTATTAGAAATATGAAAAATTAGCCAGGTGTGGTGGTGGGCACCTGTAATCCCAGCTACTCAGGAGGCTGAGGCAGGAGAATCGCTTGAACCCAGGAGGTGGAGGTTGCAGTGAGCCGAGATCACACCATTGTACTCCAGCCTGGGCAACAAGAGCGAAACTCCATCTCAAAAAAATAAACAAATAAAAGATTATTCTAATTAATCTTCAACTGCTTCCAAAGGAGCCATGGTATAGAGGCTGGAAAAGTAGCTTTTTTTTTTTTAACGTAGTGAAATATGTATGATACATTACTAAGCAAAAACCTGAGTTAATAATGGCAAAGTGGGTTACAATTTTTGCTTAAAAAGGTCTTTATGTACAGGTAGATGTACAAGATAAATTAAAATACTGGATGGACAGTCATCAAATTGTGAGTTATATCTGGGTAGGAGGATTAAGGATGACTTTTTCAAATTATGCATTTGTATGTTTTTTTTCAGTGAGATTATACTTTTGTAATGAAGTACATAACCCAGGGGTTTTTCATCTGGATTTAGTTGCTGGGGACCTTGGGAAGCCCCTCAGGATCTAGAGCCAGTTTTTCCACCTGACCAGAGGCCCAGTGATACCTACCTAGCAAGGCTCAGCAGACCCCCTGCCTGAACTTGACTCCATTTGGACTCTGGGAGGATCCTGGCCCCAAACCACCCTCCCAAGAACCTCCATGAGTTCTCTACCTCTTGTATCCTTCTCTTCCCAGCATCACTGCAAATGTTCCACCCTGTCCCGCACCATGCCCCCATCCATGAGCACTTAGCATCCTTCCCTGGTATAGGCAGGAGCAACGCTGAACTTCCTGGAGAAGTCCACATTCCAGTCAGCTGTCTACAGCAGAACCACACACCACCAAAGGGAAATAGCATTTTCATCACTGACTGCCCAAGGGCCAGGCTGCTCTCCAGAAAGTCTGGAAACTTTCCTTGTCAACCTTTAGGACTGGTGGTTTTTAAATCTTGGATAATCACATACCATTTCTGATTTGTCAGTACAGTTTGACATTTTTATGAACACTTGTGCTGTATTTTTCCTTTTAGGATGACCTTTCCTAGACAGTGTGTGGGGTAGCTTAAGCCCCACCCCTTCTCCTGCCATCTCCTCCCCAAGGCACCAATGCTGCCTCCTCCACTGTAACACCACGTGCTTATTCATCTAGAATCATTCTTACTGGTAATGGAGGCCTTCCGTCCTCCGGAGTGACTGTGTGGAAACCTGAGCCACTCCTCACCTCTAACACAAGCCTGGCAGCAGCTCCTGATGAGACCAGGTGAGCCTCAGTGAGCTCAGGCGCCTGCAGATACGGACATTGAGGCTGGCACTGGCCAGAGCTGTGGTGGGCATCACTCCCCACTGCTGCTGAGCAAATGCCCTGAACACACCTGTATCTGGTTCCTCCTTGCCAGGAACTCATTAAGCTGCCTGGGCCTGTAGTCTCGTGCTCCTCCCGCTCGGCCAGCAGTGCCACCTGGGAGTCTTGTTACCTGCAGGTTCTCACTCAGCAAGCCAGGACAGGGCCCGAGCACTTGCATTTCTAACCAACTCCTGATGATGCAGCTGGTCTACCAGCCACCAGCTGGCTAGCAAGGGTCCAGTCACAGTTTCAGTGAAAGGAAGTTCCATTCATAAACTATAGAATTTCAGATGCCTTCAAGTAGAATCACCTGATGAAATTTAAAAATTATTTCCAAGCTCACCCTAACCCGGAAATAAAGATTATCATCCCAACTAATTTCAGGAAGGGAGGGGCCAGTTTTAACATTTCCATTTCAAATATTAGAGCCCGGTCTGTGGCTCATGTGTGTAATCCCAGCACTTTGAGAGGCTGAGGCGGGAGGACTGCTTGAAGTCAGGAGTTTAAGACCAGCCTGGTCAACAGAGGGAGACCCTGTCTTTAAAAACATTTAAAAAATTAAAAATTGGGCAGCTGTGGTGCTGTGTGCCTATAAAGCTACAGGTAATTACTTTAAATATTTCAACAGATAACTTAAATACTTTAATAATTTAAATATTTAAACAGATAATTATCTGTTTTAGTTTGTCAACATTGTGGTAAGTCATGATCCTGCCACTATACTCCTGCCTGGGCGACAGGGAGATCCTGGGCTCTCAAAAAAACAACAAAAAAAAAAAATTAGAAAAATGAGGCCAGGCATGGTGGCTCACACCTGTTATCCCAGCACTTTGTAAGGCCAAGATGGGAGAATCACTTAAACCCATGAGTGACAGACCAGCCTAGGCCACAAAGTGAGACCCTGTCTCTACAAAAAATTTAAATATTAGCCAGATGTGCTGGCATGCACCTGTAGTCCCAGCTACTCAGGAGGGTGAGGTGAGAGGATCGCTTGAGCCCAGGAGGTTGTGGCTGCAATGAGTTGTGATGGTGCCACTGCTCTTCAGCCTGGGCAGCAGAGCAAAACTCATCAACGATGAAACTCTTTCCAAAAAAAAAGATTAGAAAAGTGAGTGAAATGGGCCGGGTGCAGTGGCTCACGCCTGTAATCCCAGCACTTTGGGAGGCCGAGGTGGGTGGATCACGAGGTCAGGAGATCGAGACCATCTTGGCTAACACGGTGAAACCCCGTCTCTACTGAAAATACAAAAAAATTAGCCTGGCATGGTGGCGGCCGCCTGTACTCCCAGCTACGTGGGAGGCTGAGGTAGGAGAATGGCATGAACCCAGGAAGTGGAGCTTGCGGTGAGAGGAGATCACGCCACTGCGCTCCTGCCTGGGCAACAGAGGGAGACTGTCTCAAAAAAAAAAAAGAAAAAGAAAAGAAAAAAAGAAAAGTGAGTGAAATGACCCAAGACTACACAGTAAGTTACTAGAGAAGGTGGTGGCACCTTAGAAGTATAGAGTTTATGGGAAAAGTTTTAAATTTTTAATGAAAAAGACTTAGAACAATGTATTATTTACATGTAAATAAGAAAAGAGAGCAGAATCCCCATATCCTCTTCAAAGGAAGGGAGACGGCAGGCCATTTATGAGAAGAAAGTCCATATAAACCCCATTAAGTAGAATCTGGATCTAAATACTTCCAAACAGGAGTACACAGCAGGTGAACAGTCTCCCTCATCCCACTGATCTGCTGCTTCAGATAAGATCAGCAACTGAAAGTGAAGAAAGAAACAGATTAAGGAACAACACAAACAAAATGAAAATTTGTTAACGTAAATTTAACTAAAACCTCACAACAGACTTCTCAAAACAAAAAACAGGCCAGACATAGTGGCTCACGCCTGTAATCCCAGCACTTTGGGAGGCTGAGGTGGGCAGATCATTTGAGGCCAGGAGTTCGAGACCAGCCTGGCCAACATGGTGAAACCCCGTCTCTACTAAAAATACAAAAATTAGCTGGCTATGGTGCACGTGTCTGTAATTCCAGCTACTCAGGAGGCTGAGGCAGGAGAATTGCTTGAACCCAGGAGGCAGAGGTTGCAGTGAGCCGAAATCGCGCCACTGCACTCCAGCCTGGGTGACAGAGCGAAACTTCGTCTCAAAAACAAAACAAAAAAACCCACAACAACAAAAAAACAAACTCAGGTGCCCCAAACTAAGAATAGGGAAGTTCCCTCTACAATTACAGTAGAGCTGGACGATTTCCTACCGTTCATCGGCATCTCATCAATCTGAGTGGAATAGTACTGCTCGATATCTCTGAGGATGCGGATGTCGTCATTCTTTACAAAGTTAATGGCCACACCCTTCCGGCCGTATCGACCTGATCTCCCAATTCTTCAGGAATAAAATAATATTACAGTTAGTATATATAACAATCAAGATTTAGTAAATGTGTCACAGAAGTGAAGCCAATGAGAGCTTGCACCTTACCTGTGTATGTACAATTCTCTGTTATTAGGGAGATCATAGTTAATGATGAGGGACACCTGAGGGACATCCAACCCCCTGGCCCAGACATCTGTAGAAATAAGCACTCGGCTGCAAAAAGAAAGAGTGTTTGAGGCGATTAAATTACTCATACAAGTGTAAGACTGGACTTGCTTCCATTGCTAATTTTAAGGAATCCTGGCTGCAGGTCCAAAATATACGAGATTCTCCTCTCTCAACAGTCTGTCTGCAAACGTGAAGCCTCAGGGACAGCACCAGAAACCCCTGTGCAGAGGGGCTGTTGGTGGATTTAGTTACTTCGGTCATGTGCTCCATCAGATTAAAAAAATAGACATCTTTTACTAGACTATCTTTAACTTGTTTAATCGGTCCTAAACCAATAATTGGGAAAAATACTTCACTTTTGCCTAGCAAAAAATTAAAAACGGTAACTTCAGCCGGGCATGGCGGCGGCTTATGCCTGTAATCCCAGCACTGCCAGAGGCTGAGGCAGATGGATCACCTGAGGTCAGGAGTTCGAGACCAGCCTGGCCAACATGGTGAAACCCCATCTCTACTAAAAATGAAAAAAAAAAAAAAAAATTAGCCATTCCAGCTACTCGGGAGGCTGAGACACAGGAGTCACTTGAAATCAGGAGGCAGAGGTTGCAGTGAGCCAAGATTGTGCCACTGCACTCCGGCCTGGGTAACGAAGTGAGACTGTCTCAAAAACAAACAAACAAAAAAAGACACACACAGCACATATGTTAAGCTGACCACAAGGTGGGCAAAGAAGGAAGTCTGAATCAAGTTCAAATGAATGAAACCACCCAATCCACGCTTTCTGACCACTGTGGAATTAAACTAATCGAAACGATGAACAGAAAACCCCCCTACTTACTGGAAAAGAAGACACACGCTTGTAACCAAGGTGACCAACCTGGCTAGTTAAGGCTAGTTATCACCTCAACCTAAGTATTACAGGAGCACAGCGGACCCCTCCTTAACTGGAAGGTTTTCTGCTCACCCAGGGCCTCAGCTTTCAGAGCAGAAGCTTGGCATCCCCCCGGGTGTGGGGCCTGCACTTAGGCGGTACATATGAAGTGCTTAGACACAGTCTAGCAAACCCTGACCTGCAGAGCCACAGCATAGCAGACCCACCTGGCGCCCGACCGGAACTCCTTCATGATGGACTCCCGCTCTTTCTGGGGCATGTCTCCATGCATTGAGGATACAGTGAAGTTGGCTTCCCTCATTTTCTCCGTCAGCCAGTCCACCTACAAATCCAATCAACAGATGCTACTGCAAGCTAGTATACCAAAGCAGAGATGTGCATTCGGGACTTTACCGCATCATTTGCAGAACCAGTATCAATATTCGTAAGGTAACTGCTCTTAAAACTCAGAATCATCCTAACTGGATGTAAAAACTTTTTCCCAGAAAATGTTGGGGTGCACTCACAAAACCCTCTTACTTCATTTTCTCCATATAATGACTCTATGGGGGGAGGGGGCCAGGTGTGCTCATTCTCATTTGAAATTTGAATTCCAATCTTGTTAGAATGTAGCCCAACTCCTTTCCTTTCTCAGGAAAGTGGCCGACAGTTCTCAGGTCTGCCTCCACATTACCATCACCTGGGGATCTAAAACTACTCAGGCCTGGGTTCCACCTTCAGCCAACGAAATCTGAATCTTTAGGGGTGGCTGATATCGCTGTTCTGTAAATGAAGTTTTAATGGTCACAGCCACGTCTGACCGTTTGCATATTGTCTACAGCTGCTTTTACAAGAGAACACATACCCTGAAAGCTTAAAATATGGACAAACTGGCCCTTTACTGAAAAATCTTGATTTATGTCATTCAGAGACTCAATCTGCAGTTTCCCTTCAGCACATGGATGCTGTGCAGTGCCTCTTACCTTTCTTTTGGTGTTGCAGAAGATGACCGCCTGAGTGATGGTCAGTGTGTCGTAGAGGTCACACAGAGTGTCAAATTTCCACTCTTCCCTCTCCACTGCCACGAAAAATTGCTTGATGCCTTCCAGAGTCAATTCATCACTGAAGGACAAAGACAAATCCTGTTACATACTCATCCTTCCTTCTAGGACTTGAGGGTGGGCCAAGCCAGGATCCAGGGAGACCCTGGTGGAAAAGGTCACACCGTGATATCTGGTGCAGACCCAGCAGCCCCAGCCCTGTCCTCCATCCTATCACCACTTCCGTCACACAGGCCTCCATTCTGTATCCTACTTAACATTTCACAATGTGCACCACATGGAATACGATTCTAAACGAAACACTGATAAATAAATAGTCACCTAATTTTTAAATTTAGAATTATTGGTTCAAACCACAATGAGGATTATAAAAGATGGGTTGTTTTGTTTTGTTTGAGACAGGGTCTTGCTCTGTTGCCCTGGCTGAAGTACAGTGGCACAATCAAAGCTCACTGCAGCCTCAGCCTCCTGACCTCAAGCGATCCTCCCACCACAGCCTCCTGAGTAGCTGGGACTATAGGCATGTGCCGCCCTACCTGGCTAATTTTTTATTATTGGTAGAGATACGGTCTCTATATGTTGCCCAGCCTATTTGGTTTTTTAAAACAGGAATTTTAAAAGAATTTGCATGCTTTCAATTCCTTTACACTCAGGCAAGAGGATAGCCTGAGGTCCGGGTTTTGACACGAGCTTCAGCAACACAGCCAGACTCTGGCTATAAAAAGTTTTTGAAATTACGACATAAAATCCTTTATAAATGCGGCCCAGTGTTTTAGTAAACTTGACAAGAGGGGCTCCTACCGTTTCACCAAGATGCGGATTGGGTCGGTCATGAACTTGTTGGTCATCTCCAGAATCTCGTGTGGCAGCGTGGCACTGATGAGAACCACCTGTGTGGCTGGAGGCAGGTACCTGTATACATCGTAAATCTGCTCTTTGAAACCTGGGACAGGGAGCAAGACAGGTGAGGGATGTTTAGGGCGGCACACCCAGAAATGGAAGGTGCACGCCCAGTGTTCCCACTGGGTTAGAGGCAGAGTGGTGATAAGGTACGTTTGACAGGAAATCTCATTTTTACAGCACCAGGCCACATCCACGCGTTCTCTCCGTCCCTACTCCCCGCCCACCGGAGTGTTATCTGGTTGAGGGAATCTGGTTTCCCTTTGGTGCTTCTTCAATCTGAAGTGATCTAGGGATCAAGAAACCCACCCCGAGAGTCCTAGATACCAAATAAAAAGCAATAGAGGCTGGCCTGAGTCACCCACAATGAACAAATAAATAAAATCAAGGTAGGAATTTTTTGTTCATAATTGCCAAGGCACAATTGTTTTTCCACGATGAAAACACTATTCACATTCAGAACAGTCACTGGCTGTTTCAATTTTACACTGTGAAAATTTAAGAACTAAGAATTATGTCAGTAGAAGAGTAATTCTTTTGTTGCTCATACCTTTATTCAACATTTCATCAGCTTCATCCAAAACCAACATTTTGATAGCACGTGTCCTTAGGCTTCTGCGACGAATCATATCTATAACATGAGATTTTGAAATACTTACGACAAATCACATCTATGAGATTTTGAAATAATCACACCTGAGGCTCCCAAGAAAGAGCTCATCATTCCACTGGTCTCAGGGTTCCAGAGACCTTCCCTCTACCTCCTGCAAGTGACCCAGGTGCAAAAGTCTACCGTGCGGCCTACCAAATCGAAAGCTGTCCTGTACCATTTAAGCACTTCTTACAAATACTACCGGCAGCACCATTTTTAGCGACAAAAGTGCTTACCAAAAACACGCCCTGGAGTGCCCGCGACAACATGCTGTCCGTAATCCAGCTTCCTGATGTCCTCGCCAACATTGGTGCCTCCAATGCAGGCATGGCACTGGACATTCATGTAGTCACCGAGAGCAAGCAGCCCCTGAAACAAAGCACAGGTTCACGTCCAGGGTGGGAGAGAGAAACATCCACGTTTTCCAAAAAGAAAGACTGTTTCTCCTCCGAGATGATCACCGATTATTATTTATGCCATTATTATCTCGAAACCACAAAATTCTCCTGCTCTTTTCTCTGACAAAAACAAGTTAATTTTGCTTTTTTTTTTTTTTTTTTGAGACGGAGTCTCACTCTGTGGCCCATGCTGGGGGGCAGCAGCGCAATCTTAGCTCACTGCAAGCTCCGCCTCCAGGGTTCACGCCATTCTCCCGCCTCAGCTTCCTGAGTAGCTGGGACTACAGGCGCCCGCCACCACACCAGGCTAATTTTGTTTTTGTATTTTTAGTAGAGATGGGGTTTCACCGTGTTAGCACACCGTGCTGTGTGCACCCTATATGTGTATTCAGAGAGTCGTTATCTCCTGACCTCGTAATTGGCCTGCCTCAGCCTCTCAAAGTGCTGGGATTACAGGCGTGAGCCACCACACCCGGCCTGCTGGTTTCTTATTACAAAAGCTATATCATTAACAGAAAAGAATATATAAAATTCATAATCCCATCCACCGAAGAAACCAGCATTAACATCTTAATATACATCTTTTTAAACATACATCTTTATACTACGTTAAGTATAAAATGGGTACAATTTATTTTTTTTTTGAGACAGAGTTTCACTCTTCTTGCCCAGACTAGAGTACAACGGCACAATCTCAGCTCACTGCAACCTCTGCCTCCCGGGTTCAAGTGATTCTCCTGCTCAGCCACCCAAGTAGCTGGGATTACAGGCGCCTGCCACCACGCCCAGCTAATTTTTTGTATTTTTAGTAGAGACAGGGTTTCACTATGTTGACCAGGCTGGTCTCAAACTCCTGACCTCAGGTGATCCACCCACCTCGACCTAATTTATTTTTATTAAAATTGATTTTTCGCAAAAAATCTACATTTCTAAGGCTGTAAAAAACTACCGAGAGCACACAAGCCACACCAAAAATGACTTAATACAAACCAGCAATTTATATAATGATTAATGGCAAAATGTTAATCAGGAAGAAAATTTTGAGGTATCAGAAAACAGGATTGGATTAAATAAATAAGTCGGTGTTTCACAACTAAATCACAAAAGCAGTACTTGTTAATCGGACACCGCTATCTTTAGCCATCTCACCTTCTGGATCTGCACAGCCAACTCTCTTGTGGGAGCCAAGATCAAAGCTTGAGTTTCACGAACCTGGTGAAATAATTTATCAGAAAATAGAGAATCCGCAGTATTATCAAAGTGGATTGTAGTAATTCACACTCAGATCTATATGAGAAATACTATCTCATATTAATCATACTTCTCATCTCTTACAGGTTAGCAAATATTGTCATTTAAATTGCAAATCCAACAATAACTTAATGTGTCAGCATCCTCGTCTGCAGACAAGAGCTTCCTCTAGTTAAATAGAAAATCATGACAGAATATTAGTGCATATATTAGTGTACAACTAAGACTCTGTGTAAAAATTTGCTGAGTCAATACATACTAGAAAATTTTAAATTGTACTTTTTGAACACTGTAGTTACAGAAGAAAAAGCAAGTATTTCCTAGAATTACATAACAGTTTGTTTTAAGAATGGCAAATTACCTGAATATCCAAACACTGGAGGACTGAGATACTGAAGGTGGCTGTTTTTCCTGTGCCGGACTGAGACCTATTCAAGGAAACAAAAGCAGTGGGATTAGAGGGAGGACAGGCCACGCCACAGCTGCACTCCAAGGCCTGGGCTCCAGAGGCACTTAGGTACCTTCTTCCAGCAAGCCCCCGTACCTAATAACATCTTAACTGCGAGGAGGCAGGACTCGGGCCCAGTGTCACAGCTTGTTAAGTGTCCATGAAGAAAGAGAGTAGACATGGCTTCTGCACGGGGGCAATGGAGCCACAGACTCTCTAACTTCAAGAGGTGTTTCATAGGTGTCAGAAAAAGGAGGACTCCCCTTTATCTAAATACAACTCTTTTCCTTCTAGGATTTTGGACTAACTCTCTCTTCCAAAGAAATTTTTGTGTAAATGAGTCTTTTTTGAAATTAGGCAAACGAGGAATAAAGCTATTAAAAGAGGATTTGTGGTGCTAGGAGATATGGCTATATACAAGTTTTCATCCATAGTTCCTGGCTCACAGCTCCCATAGCCCTTATTACAGTCTTATTAAATTGATGGGTTAGGCCTCAGGAAACAATCTCTCTGACCTTCTGCTCTCCTTTCACCTGCTCCACAGCAGGGCTCTAATCTTCCCTGCCTTTCAGATTGTGAGTCATAAAGACCCTCATGTCACGGCGTGGTGGCTCAGGCCTGTATTCCCAACACTCTGGGACGCAGAGGCAGCATTAATTGAAGCCAGGAATTCGAGACCAGCCTGGGCAATACAGCAAGAGACCCCATTTCTAAACAAAACAAAAAACTAACCAGGAACGGTGGCACATTCTGGCAGTCCCAGCTACTTGGGAGGTTGAGGCGGGACGATTCCTTAATCCTCGAAGTTAGAGGTTGCAGTGAGCTATGACTGCACCACTGCATTCCCGCCTGGGTGACGAAGTGAGGCCCCATATCTTAACAAAAAAAATGTTTAGGCCGGGCACAGTGGCTCACGCCTGTAATCCCAAGGCTTTGGGAAGCCAAGGCAGACAGATTGCCAGGAGTTTGAGAGCAGCCTGGGCAACACAACAAAACCCTGTCTCTACAGAAAATACAAAAATTAATTGGGCATGGTGATGTGTGCCTGTAGTCCCAGCTACTTGGGAGGGTGAGGTGGGAGGATCGCTTGAGGCTGCTATGAGCTGTAATCACACGACTGCACTCCAGTCTGGGAGACAGAGTAAGACCCTGTCTCGAAAAATGTAAAAAATTTAAATTTCAAATTTTTTTTTAAAAAGCATTATGGTATTATCCCAGAAAAGCTCCTGCCCTATTCCCTTATGGGGGAAAGAATGCTGACCTCATGGAATTTTCCATAAAAACCCAAGAGGACTGGGTTCGAAGAGCTTCTAGATGGCTGAACACAGACAGTGGAACACAAGGAGGTTCCGGGAGGTGACCACCCGCCCCTTGGAGGCTGCACCCCTCCCCCCATATCTGTATCCTCTGCAGTACCCTTTATAATAAACCACTAAATGTGTTTCCCTGAGTTCTTTGAGCTGCTGTTCCAGCAAATTAATCCAACCTAAAGAGGGGATCCTGGGAACCCAACTTGAAGCTGCTTGGTCAGAAGTTCTAGAGATCCGAACTTATAACTGGTGTCTGAAAAGAGGGTAGTCATGGGGACTGAGCCGTCAACCTGCAGGATATGGCCTATCTCCAGGCAGGTGGTGTGAGTTGAACTGGAGGACACCCAGCTGGAAAAGCCCCACACCTCTGCTCACAGAAGTCTTCTTCTGTGCTGATGACTGTTGTGGTGGTGTGAGAGCAGAGGAAAAGCACAGTCTGTTTTTCCGAAATTGTGTTATATACAATTCCACATGCCAGCAAACCACTAAGCAAAGCTGGCTAAGAAAATGAAAGCCTTGGCCGGGCGCAGTAACTCATGCCTGAAATCCCAGCACTTTAGGAGGCCAAGGAGGGTGGATCACCTGAGGTCAGGAGTTTGAGACCAGCCTGACCAACATGGTGAAACCCCCGTCTCTACTAAAAATATGAAAATTAGTCGGGCATGGTGGTGCATGCCTGTAATCCCAGCTACTTGGGAGGGTGAGGCAGGAGAATAGCTTGAAACTGAGAGGCAAAGGTTGCAGTGAGCCGAGATGGCACCACTGCACTCCAGCCTGGGCAACAGAGCGAGACTCCATCTCAAAAAGAAAATGAAAGCTTTCCACAGTAGAGAACACAAATTTAAAAAAGTATTAAACCCTGTGGCTAAAGTCAGGGAAAGTGTTGGAACTGAGCGTGTACAAGCTGAGGGAAACAGTCATCCCAGAGCATCTAACTGCACTGCGCTGCCCAAATTTACATCCAGCCCTGCGCCGCACCCCAGGACAACTTACTGTGCGATGACATCTCTCCCTTTGATGATCTGCTTGATTGCTCGTTGCTGGATTGCTGATGGTTTTTCAAAACCTGCAAATAAAAACAAAAAATTAGCCCTCACCACAATGACAGCATAGAAACCCTGTACTGTGAGCTCCTCAGGGGCAGACATGGTTTGTTTTTTGAACCTGTCCTCCAGCCTAACCCAGTGTTCAACATAGCAAGCTCTCAAAACCCAGGGGCTCAATGAATTGGGCTGAGTGATTTCTACACTAACGTGGGATATTATTTGTAAAGACCAATCTCTATTTTTAAAAAACCACCAAATTGTAGAATATAGACAACAGTTTTGTTTAAAAAAAAAAAAAAATCTGGGTGTGCAGCATCTGGAAGTGTAAGTGCCAAAATGTTCCTGGCAGTTACTGCAGTAGAGGGGTGGAAAGAAACTTACTTTTTACTCTAATTACTCCCTTAGGTTTGACTGGATTACAAACAACCTATACTACTTTTTAAATTAAAAAAAAAAACAACAAAAAAACAGGAAAGTCACTCTAGCCATTGTTCTCTCCTACTAGCTAGCATTAAGTCTGTGTGTTGCTGACAGGTCTACAACTCTGTTTAACCTGCGTGGGTCACGCTGCAGGGTGTCCTATGTTGTTCTGTCTGGATGCAGCTCACTAACTACAACACCATCACACCATCTCTCTTGCAAAGCAACTACTACACCAAAGGGTGAGGCTATTTTGAAGAAGAACCACGTGTTTTTCAAGTAAATAAAATTTTATGTACAAAAACTCTATTTCAATTATTTTTTGGTAGTCTCTTAAATGTAGCTCTGCTCAGTTCTGGGGCATAGCGAAAAATAAGAAACAAAAGAAAATGTAGCACAATTTCCCATCTTAACACAAATGCAAATATAGCAGATGATTTAAACTCTTCATGAAGAGCAAGCACATAGATGGGAAACTAACAACAGTGTCTTAGGGCAGGGACTGCCTGAGTGCCAGGAAACCAGGTGGGGCTGTCAGCCTCACTGTGAGGCTGCCTGAGATGCTTTTTCACCACGCATCCTCAGCAACTTCGCTTCACTTTGTCCAAACTGTTGTGGCATCAAGAACTACAGGATACGGCCAGGTGGGGTGGCTCACACCTGTAATGCCATCACTTTGGGAGGCTGAGGCTGGTGGATCACTGAGGTCAGGAGTTCAAGACCAGCCTGGGCAACATGGCAAAATCCCCTCCCTACTAAAAATACAAAAATTAGTAGGACGTGGTGGCCCACACCTATAATCCCAGCTACTCGGGAGGCTGAGGCAAAGGAATCGCTTGAGCCCCAGAAGTGGAAGTTGCAATAAGCTGAGATCATGCCACTACACTCCAGCCTTGGTGACAAGAGCAGGACTGTCAGAAGGAAAAGGAAGAAAGAAAAGGAAGAGAACTACAGGATAAAAAATGTCCCTGTCCCAAGCATTAAACACAGGCCATTTATCCCAGATGCTGGTCATTCCCATCTATGTGCCCAACCCAACCTCTTCTCCAGGCTCTCCCTCAACTTCCTCACATCTTTCAAACATACCAAGAGACAGCTCCTGATTCTGACTCTCTGGAGTGCTGCCTACCTAGCCAAATGTTTGCAGCATCAACCACCGGTTACTCAAAACACTCCAACTCTCCTCCTTCTGTCACTCACGTTCAATCCATCAGCCAATGCTGTCAGCTCCCTGGTACTCCATCTCCAAGGCAGCACAATCCTCTCTTCCCTGAACTGCAGCAAAAGCTCCCAACTCTCTTGTTTCCTCTCCTGCCTTGCCTCGCCTCACCTCAAATCTACAGACACCCAGAAGAATCTTTAAAACTGTAAATGTGATCGTGTCACATAGCTACTTAAAACCTTCCACTGGCTTCCCACTAGATTTCTAAATGAAATTCAAATTATTCGTCACCCTACACGTCTTTGCTAGATCTGCCCCGACTAGCTCTCCAAAATCCCACCACAGGGGACTTCTTTCAGTTCCTGGAATGCAGCTGGCTAAGGGCTGCAAGGCCCTGGCACCAGCTGTTCCTTCTGCCCCAACTGCTCTTCCCTCTTCTCATAACAGTCTCCTTCATCCAGAACTCTGCTCAAATGGCACCCCCTCCTGCGAACCCCCTTACCTCTCTGCTTTACTAATTCTCTCCTCCTTCCCAGTCCCACTCTATTCAATTACCCCGCTTCAGGTTCTTCAGGTTGCCTGGGCAACCTGACAGTATGCTTTCCCCCCAAACGAAATTCAAAACCCGTAAAGGCGCAAACCCTTCCGGTTTACCGCCAAAACCCCAGTACCTAGAAAAGCTAATAGGTAGAAATCAGTTATCTGCTGAATGAAGGACGCTGAGGTGCCTCGAAGCGGCTGCAGCCCCCGACAGACCCAGCGCCGAGCTCTGCACGGGGGACACACACCGAAAGCGCCGACACAGCCAGGCGTGAGGGCGAGGACGGGGGTGGGGGTGGGGGTCGGACGTCACTGGCCCCCGAGCCTCGACCCTGACCACGACCTCCGGAGCGCAGGGCCGGCCCGGGAGTCACCAGTCTGGCCCTCAGCCCCCGGCTCGCCCCCGACTCGCCCCCGGCTGGCCCCCGCGGCCCGCGCCCGCTCACCGTAAGCGTAGATGCCCCGCAGCAGGTCCTCCCGCAGGCCCATGGTGTCGAACGTGGGGGTCACATCCACCTCCTCGCTGGTCTCGAATTCCACTTTAGTCATGTCTTCCTCTTTGAGCAGCCGCTTTCGCGCCGAGCCCGAGGTCGCCATCGTGGCCGTGGTCGCCATGATTCAGAGTCCGCGGAAGAGCACAGCGCGCGCCGCTGCCGACCTCGCTGCCGCTGCCGACCTCGCTGTGCCGCTGCCGACCTCGCTGCCGCTGCCGACCTCGCTGTGCCGCTGCCGACCTCGCTGTGCCGCTGCCGACCTCGCTGTGCCGCTGCCGACCTCGCTGTGCCGCTGCCGAGAACAGACGCCTTAAGTATGCGAAAGCGAGAGACGTGCGTGCGTACGTGCGTACGTGCGTACGCGCGACGCGGCCACGCCTCTGGGGGACGGGGCACTCTTCGTCACGTGAAAGGGAACTGGGCGTTTGCCGCAGGGAAAAGTAAGGTGTTTCTGCTCTCGCGCCATATGCAGTTCCCGCGGGATCTCGTTGAGGGCGGGGCACCCAGTTCCTTACGAAAGGGATGGAGGGGGTGGTACTTCTAAAGTTGGCGGTGTTTCGTACCGGCCGCGGGATTTCGCGGACTGGGGCGCTGAGGTTCTTTGAGCGGCGTGTGGACCTGAATTCCCTGGAAACAGGCTGGGGCCGCGAGGGGCCTCCGCTCCGGGCGGGGTCCCCAGATAGCCCCGCCTCGAATAAAAATGACGAGCACGGGTCCTCTCTCGGGCCCGCAGTGGGTGGACTGCGTCGCAGACCCGTAGTGGAGGCGCCCAGCTCGCCGGGGAGATTCGAGTGGAAACCCTCACGGCCGCCGGTGGTGGGCCCCGGCGCGGCGCTGGGCTCCGGCGGGTCTGCGCTGGGGAGGGCCAGGGCCCCTGAAGCCGGCGTCCCTCTTAGGGGACGCGCCTGGGTGTGTCTTCACCGTTTGCCTGGTGAGTTGGAGACAGGGTCTCGCTCCGTCGCCCAGGCTGGAGTGCAGTGGTAGGATCAGGGTTCATTGTAGCCTCCGCCTCAGCCTCTGGAGTAGCTGGGACCTCAGGCGCGCGCCACCACGCCCGGCTAATTTTTTAAATTTTTTTGTAGAGACGGGGTTGGGGGAGGCGGGGGTTAGGGTTGTCCTGGCTGGTCTTGAACTGCGGGGCCTCAGGTGATCCGCCTGCCTTGGCCTCCCAAAGTGCTGGGATTACAGGCATGAGCCACTGTGCCCGGCAAGCAGCTGTTATAAATAAAATACATGCTGAGCCTGCAATTTGCTCTTAATGAAGGCCACTTGTCAGTAGACGGTGCTGCTAATGCGTGTCCTGCAGCAAAGATAACCCAGACGGGATCATTTTTTAATTGCCCAGCAGAACTTTAACCAGTTGTGCATCTTAACCTGCTTTTTGTTTGTTCGTTTGTTTGTTTTGAGACAGTCTGGCCCTGTCGCCCAGGCTGGAGTGCCATGGCGCGATCTCGGTTCACTGCAGCCTCCACCTCCCGAGCACAGGCGATCCTCCCGCCTCAGCCTCCAGAGCACCTGGGACCACAGGTGTCCACGCGCAGCCACTAACCGCTTTCTTATCTGACACTTTAAGTGCTTCTTCGTACCCAGCTCCTCTAACGCCTTTTGAAGCAGCTCCATCATCTTTGAAGGGCAGTTCATGCTGTTGAGAATCATGTTTTTAACTTTGGGAAAATTGTATTTCCACGAGCGCCAGCTCTGTCCTTTTTTTTTTTTTTTTTTTTTTTTTTTTTTGACGGAGTCTTGCTCGGTTCGCCCAGGCTGGAGTGCAGTGTCGCGATCTCAGCTCACTGCAAGTTCTGTCGCCCAGGTTCACGCCATTCTCCTGCCTCAGCCTCCCAAATAGCTGGGACTACAGACACGCGCCACCACGCCCAGCTAATTTTCTGTATTTTTAGTATAGACCGGGTTTCACCATGTTGGCCAGGATGGTCTTGATCTCTTGACCTCATGATCCGCCCACCTCGGCTTCCCAAAGTGCTAGGATTACAGGCGTGAGCCACCGCGCCCCGCTATTTTGTGTGTGTGTGTGTGTGTGTGTGTGTGTGTGTGTGACAGAGTCTCGCTCTGTTCCCCAGGCTGGAGTGCAGTGGCGCAATCTTGGCTCACTGCAACCTCTGCCTCCCGGTTCAAGCGACTCCCCTTCCTCACCCTCCTGAGTAGCTAGGATTACAGGCATGCACCACCACGCCCGGCTAATTTTTGTATTTTTAGTAGAGATGGGGTTTCCCCGTGTTGGTCAGGCTGGTCTTGAACTCCTGACCTCATGATCTGCCCGCTTCAGCCTCCTAAAATGCTGGGATTACAGGCATGAGCCCGGTCCTGTCCTTTCTTATGGTCACAAATCTGGCTTGCATCGCTGGGCACATCTTTAATCCACAGCTTCTTTCTAGGAGTGCTTGAAAAGCTCTCCTTTTATGAAGGTTAATTTTAGTTAAAACCAGAGCATCCTGGCCAGGCCTGGTGGCTCACGCCTGTAATCCCAGCACTTTGGGAGGCCGAGGCAGACGGATCATGAGTGTAGGAGTTCGAGAACAGCCTGGCCAAAATGGTGAAACCCCATCTCTACTAAAAAAAAAATACAAAAATTAGCTGGCCGTGGTGACGGGTGTCTGTAGTCCCAGCTACTCTGGAGGCTGAGGCAGGAGAATCTCCTGAACCCCGGAGGTGGAGGTTGCAGTGAACCGAGATTGCGCCACTGCACTCCAGCCTGGGCGACAGAGACTCCATCTCAAAAATAAACAGAAAACCAGAGCATCCTTTTATCAAGAAGTCGGTGGATTGCAGTATTTCAAGGGTGAACAAGTAAATGCAGCCTTCTCCAAGAGTGAATCTCATTCTGGCACCAGAATTTATCCATGACAGATAATTGACCTTCTGATAAACATTCCTTGTAAGGATGCTGGTGTTACCCAAAATATTAAATATTTATAAAGCTGAATAAAATGTAAGTTCTGATACCTTCCTCACTCTACAAAGGATCATTTCGTGCCTCACACTGTTTGCCAGGCCGTGCTGTAGCGCTTTGTCGTAAAATACACACAGATTTCAATGACTTAACGTAGGAGAAGAATGTAAAATACCTTGTTGACTAAAGAAAAACAGTTAAGCTTTTAAAGAATTAAAGTTAGTTTTATTCAGAAGCCTTACTGAGGACCGTACATCCTGGCCCCAGCCCAGGAGCTCAAGCGATCCTCCTACCTCAGCCTCTCAAAGTGCTGGAATCACAGGTGTGAGCTACCAGGCCTCTCACCTTGTTCAAAGTTAAAATCTAATCCACAAACTGCTTAGATTTGTTTTCCTTCATATTTTTATGACTAGATGATCTAACATTTTACACCATTTTTCTGGAAATGTTGTTTATGCCAGGTGTCTGAACACACATCTTAAAGGGCTCTAACTTTTCTGGGGAGCAGTAGCTTTTTAGCCCAGAGTCTATGACAATGTGACAATGATGAGAGCTGCTGAGGTTTGCTGCAGTCTCTGGGTGAACGATGCTTTCTAGGGAAACAATGGGGCATAAAACAGACATGGGCTCTCCTGCCTTGAGATTAATCGCGTGAGATGGACCCCTCCCCAACACACAAACATTGTGGGACATGAGGTGCTGGAGACGGGGTTGCTCACCCAGAGCTTAATGGGTCTGTCCACCTTTGTGACCAAGAGGCCTCTTTTCTTAGAGGCTGAGGGGCCCTGGGATGATGAGGGTAAATCCACTTTTTAGAGCAGGAATCTCCAAACCCCAGGCCACGGACCAGTATCAGCACCTGTCTGTGGCCTGTTAGGAACCAGGCGGTGCAGCAGGAGGCAAGCAAGGGAGCTAAACTGAGCTCTGCCTGCTGTCAGCAGCAGCACTGGACTCAGAGGAGTGTGAACCCTGTTGTGAACTGCACATGCGAGGGATCTAGGTTGTGCACTCCTCATGAGAATCTAATGCCTGATGATGGGAGGTGGAATAGTTTCATCCCGAAACCACTACCCCATCCATCTCTGGAAGAATTTTTTTCCACCACCTGTGGAAAAGTTGTTGACGTGGCTAGACTTTGTGTCTTCACCCACATCTCATCTTGAATTGTAATCCCATAATCCCTATAATCCCCACGTGTCGAGGGAGAAGCCAGGTGGAGTAATTGAATCACGGGGATGAGTCCCCCATGCTGTTGTCTTGATAGTTGTCTCGAGATCTGATGGTTTTATAAGGGGCTCTTCCCCCTTTGCTTGGCACTTTTCCCTTCCTGCCATCTTGTGAAGAAGGTGCCTTGCTTCCCCTTCACCTCCTGCCATGATTGTAAGTTTCCTGAGGCCTCCCAAGCCATGCTGAACTGTCAATTAAACCTCTTTCCTTTATAAATAACCCAGTCTCGGACAGTTCTTTATAGCAGTATGAAAATGGAATAATACATTTGTCTTCCACAAAACCCATCCCTGTTGCCAAAAAGGCTTTAGAAAACGCAGTGTGGGTAGGTGGTGAATAGATGGGAGGAGACTCATGTTTTTGTCATGTAGGAGAGCAGCAAGAGCTCCTCTCAGGAGAAGAGGTTTTTGCTGTGAAATATGGTGCGTGCTTTTCCATGGCCTATGTAGTGCTCAGCAGATGCCCTAGCATCAATAGGATCCCAAACCCCTTGTTCTGTTTATTACTGGTAGGCAGTTAGGATCGTGTCAGCCATGTCTTGAGAACATGCCTTGTGAGTCATGCACCAGATTTGTTAAAGTGTCGGCTCTGTGTAGCTCTGTTGTGCTATGCATAACATCTACTTAAAAAATGAGAGCTGACAGCCTCGCTTAGCTTTCTATCCACAAGTCCCCTGCTTAAAATTCTGGATAAATGTTTCCGTTCCTATGGGAAACCTCCATTATCTCCATAAGTAGAGAATGCAGATAGGTATCTTTTTTCTTTTACTGATGGAGACACTAAGGCCCAGTGTGATAAGTTCAAGCGCCCTACAGGGAAAGGCACAAGCAGGCCAGGCTCTAGAGTTCCCTAAACAGTAGCTATAGTGCCTGCCCTTTGTCCCTGGCCCCCAAGGTGTCTAGGAAAAGAGGCTCCCGGTCACTGAGGTAGACAGACCCCTATGCCTGGTCTCAGCATCCTCGCTGTCACCGGCATCTCACTTCCCACATGGTTTCCACGTTGGGGAGGGAGACTACTCACCCCATTAAATGCGGCTGCTAGGGTCATGTCTGTTTCGCCCCCACTGTTTCCCTAATGCTCAGTAGGTGTTCAATAAATAGTTGTTGGCTTACTCAATGTGTGGACCTCTGGGGCAAGAGAGAGGGAGGGACACAACGCAGTCCCAGCTGGCCAGGAGCGCTGTGAGCTCAGGAGGTTGCTGTGGGGGAGATGGTGAGGTAGGAATTTGGCAGGACTTGTTTCACAAGATAGAGGTCACAAAGACCCGCTGATAAAACAGGATGTGGTAAAGAAGCCTCCAAACTCCACCAAAAGCAGGATGGTGATGAAAGCAGCCTCCGCCTGTCCTCACTGCTCCTTATATGCTAATTATAACGCATCAGCTGCCAAAAGACACTCCCACCAGCCATGACAGTCTCCAAATGCTATGGCCACCCCTGAAAGTTACCCTATGTGGTCTGAAACAGGGAGGAACCCTCAGTTCCGGGAATTGCCCACCCCTTTCCTGGAAAACTCATGAACAGTCCACCCCTTTTTAGCATACGATTAAGAAATTACCATAAAAGCCAACTGGCACCCCTCAGGGCTGCTCTGCCTATGACGTAGTCACGCTTTTATTCCTTTACTTCCTTCATAAACCTGTTTTCACTTCATTCTGTTGGCTCACTTTTGAGTTCCTTCCCGTGGGAAGCCAGGAACCCACGTGGTCTCACAGGCTGAGTCCTACTTTGGGGGTTTGCCCTGTGACAATGGGAACAGCCCAGTGGTCTGCCACCCTCCAGAGCCGACCTGTCCCTTTTCCTTTACCTTCATCGGCTCCCAGGAATCAGGTAGAAAAGGGTGAGGTGGCTTTTCTTGCCCAGGAGGCTCAGGGGCAGTGCTGCTGGGCTGCACTGGGTTCCTGTAACTCATCACTGCAGGAGTTGATGTCCTAGATAGAAGTGACCTCGATCTGATCCAAGGGACCATCCCCTAAAAGTGACTTCCTGCCAGAAGTCTCCACCCATCCGTAGGTATTAAAGGGTGAACACTGTTCATTTCTAGGCACAGCCCTGCCTAAACCCAACTGGCTGGGGCAAGGCACCTTGCTGAGCGCTGCCTGAACTCACCTCACTGCTGTCTTGACTCTCAGACCCTGCACTGGCTGGTCAGAGTCTAGCACACGTGCAGTGTTAACAGAAAAACCAGACCCTGTAAAAATGTTTTCAAGAGGGTTATTCTGAACCAGTAGAAGTGACTGTGGCCTGGAAAAAACACAAACCCAAAAAGCCTTAAGTGGTCACAAGGTACCCAGGTAACAGTTTCTGTCAGGCCTCTGAGCCCAAGCTAAGCCACCATATCCCCAGGGACCTGCACATGTACATCCAGATGGCCTGAAGCAACCGAAGATACACAAAAGAAGTGAAAATAGCCTTAACTGATGACATTCCACCATTGTGATTTGTTTCTGCCCCACACTAACTGATCAATGTACTTTGTAATCTCCCCTACCCTTAAGAAGTTTCTTTATAATCTCCCACACCCTTAAGAAGGTTCTTTGTAATTCTCCCCACCCTTGAGAATGTACTTTGTGAGATCCTCCCCCTGCCCTCCAAAACATTGCTCTTAACTCCACCGCCTATCCCAAAACCTATAAGAACTAATGATAATCCCACCACCTTTGCTGACTCTCTTTTTGGACTCAGCCTGCCTGCACCCAGGTGAAATAAGCAGCCGTGTTGCTCACACAAAGCCTGTTTGGTGGTCTCTTCACAAGGACACGTGAGACAGTTTCCTTTTTTTTTTTTTTTTTTGAGATGGAGTTTCACTCTTGTTGCCCAGGCTGGAGTGCAGTGGCACAATCTCAGCTCACCACAACCTCTGCTTCCCAGGTTCAAGCGATTCTCCTGCCTCAGGCTCCCAAGTAGCTGGGATTACAGGCGTGCAGTACCACGCCTGGCTAATTTTTTCTATTTAGTAGAGATGGGGTTTCACCATGTTGGTCACGCTGGTCTCAAACTCCTGACCTCAGGTGATCTACCCGCCTTGGCCTCCCAAAGTGCTGGGATTACAGGCAGTAGCCACTGTGCCTGGCTGGTAACAGTTTACTTTTATACATTTTAGGTAAACAGGAGTTACAGGCAAAGATGTAAGTCAGTGCATGGAAGGTATACGTTTGGTTCAGCCTGAACGGCAGGCTATCCCAGAGCAGGGGCTTACAAGTCATACGTGGGTTTTACAGATTCTTTACTTGCCATTTGAGAGAGTTAAGCTATTATTTATATTACGTTTTGGGGGAGTCAAAAAGAGTTAAGCTACCGTCTAAAGACCTGAAGTAAGTAGAAAAGAATGCTTGAGTTAAGGCAGTTGTGGGGGTGAAGGCCCTTGTTATGTAAATGAAAGCCTCATAGGTTTCTAGCAGCCCTCCGAGAAAATGGATGGCAAATGTCTCTTTTCAGACTTTAAAGGTGTCAAGCTGTCAGCAAATCTCTCCTAGATCCAGGCAAGGCCTGGATATGTTAATGGACATTCTCTACAGATGCAAATTAATTTCCCCCACAAAAGATAGCTTTTTTTTTTTTTTTGAGATGGAGTCTCGCTCTGTTGCCCAGGCTGGACTGCAGTGGCACAATCTCGGCTCACTGCAAGCTCCGCCTCCCAGGTTCACGCCATTCTCCTGCCTCAGCCTCCCGAGTAGCTGGGACTACAGGCGCCTGCCACTGTGCCCGGCTACTTTTTTGTATTTTTTAGTAGAGACGGGGTTTCACCGTGTTAGCCAGGATGGTCTCAATCTCCTGACCTTATGATCCACCTGCCTCAGCCTCCCAAAGTGCTGGGATTACAGGCGTGAGTTCACCGCGCCCAGCCGAAAGACAGCTTTGCAGTGCCATTCCAAAATATGTCAAAGAAATATATTTCACAGAAAAATATTTTTATTTCCATTCTGTCATGTGTGCTCATCCAGAACCAGTTTGGAAAGGAAGCCACATTGTACCAGGTTAATTAAAAAAAAAAAAAGTTTGACAAGGGTTTATGGTTAGTAGGGTGTGAATCAGCCTTTGCCTGCCATGGCCTTAGGTCTTGTTTATAATTTGGTATCTTATTGCCACAAAGAGTCTGTTTGATCAATCTTATCTCTATTTTAACCTAAAAGAAAAACTTCAGCCTGTTGCAGGAAGCCAGGGACCCCGAATGGAGGGACCAGCTGAAGCCACAGCAGAAGAACATAAATTGTGAAGATTTCATGGACATTTATTAATTCCCCAAATTAATACTTTTATAATTTCTTACGCCTATCTTTACTGCAGTCTCTGAACATAAATTGTGAAGATTTCATGGACATCACTTCCCCAATCAATACTGTTATAATCTCCTATACCTGTCTTTACTTTAATCCCTTAATGCCATCATCTTCATAAGCTGAGGATGTCTGTCCCCTCAGGACCCTGTGATGATTGCGTTAACTGCACAAATTGTTTGTAAAACGTGTGTTTGAACAATACGAAATCTGGGCATCCTAAAAAAGAACAGGGTAACAGTGACTTTCAGGGAACAAGGAAGATAACCATAAGGTCTGACTGCCTGCGGGGCCGGGCAGAACAGAGTCATATTTTTCTTCTTGCAGAGAGCAAATAGGAGAAATATTGCTGAATTCTTTTCCCAGCAAGGAATAACCCTGGAAAAGGAATGCATTCCCAGGGGGAGGCCTCTAAAATGGCCACTCTGGGAGTGTCTGTTTTATGTGGTTGAAGATAAGGGATGAAATACACCTTGGTCTCCTGTAGTGCCCTCAGGCTTGCTAGGATTAGGAAATTCCAGCCTGGCAAATTGTAGTCAGACCGGTTGTCTGCTCTCAAACCCTGTTTCCTGTTAAGATGTTTGTCAAGACAATGCATGCCCAGTGGGACATGGAACCTCATCAGTAATTCTGATTTCACCCTGGCCTTGTGATCTTGCTCTGCCCTTCTGCCCTTGTGATCTTTTATTGCCCTTTGAAGCATGTGATCTTTGTGACTTACTCCTTGTTCGTACCCCCTCCCCTTTTGAAACCCCTAATAAAAACTTTCTGGTTTTGTGGCTCAAGGAGCATCACGGAATCTACCAATAGGTGATGTCACCCCCCAGAGGCCCAGCTGTAAAATTTCTGTCTTTTGTACTCTTTCTCTTTATTTCTCAGACCAGCCAATACTTAGGGAAAATAGAAAAGAACCTACGTTGAAATATTTATTGGAGGCTGGTTCCCCTGATAGTATGAGCTTCAGCTTGCAAGGCCTCAGGGAAAATGTGGTAGCAATTTCATTCAGTCCACATCAGAAAGATGGAAGAAGATTTTGAAAATGTTAGTTTGGAGATTTGTAGCCAGATAAGAATGGAGGATTCATCACAAATTGTAGAAAATAATAAAAACTGAAAAAACAATGGACAAGGCTGGAAACTAACAACAAGTGAACTATAGTATTCTTTCTTTAAAAAAATTATTGTAGGGAAGAAGTCTTGCTATGTCACCCAAGCTGGTATTGAACTTCTGGCCCCAAGCAATCCTCCCACCCAGCCTGTAGTTTTCTTTTGAAACATAATTTTTCTGTCTCCAGTTTCCCATTGTTATCAAGAAGAAATCATAGTAAGACCAATATATTGGTAAAATAAGTTTTAGTCTTATTACACTTGGCCCGATTATTTGCATAAAGTATAGTAAAAATAGTAATTGGCCATATAGGCTCTTTTAAGTTGCTTTTGCTGGAACTTTTTATAAGGTTAGACTATTTATTTAATCTCTCTGTCTCTCTCTCTTTTAGACAGAGTTTTACTCTGTCACCCAGGCTGGAGTGCAGTGGCATGATCTTAGCTCACTGCAACCTCTGCCTCCCAGGCTCAAGTGATCCTCCCACCTCTACCTCCCAAGTAGCTGGGACTACAGGCGCATGCCACCACACCTGAGTATTTTTTGTATTTTTGGTACAGATAGGGTTTTGCCATGTTGCTCAGACTGGTCTCAAACTCCTGACCTCAGGAGATCTGCCCACCTCAGCCTCCCAAAGTGCTGGTATTACGGGCATGAGCCACTGCACCTGGCCTTATTTATTTTTGATGCAGGGTCTCACTCTGTTGCCCAGGCTGGAGTGTAGTGGTGTGATCATAGCTCACAATGACCTTGAACGCCTATGCTCAAGTGGTCTTCCAACCTCAGTCTCCCAAGTAGCTTGGATGAGAGAAACATATCATTACACTGGGCTTTGTTGTTGTTGTTGTTGTTTTGAGAGATGGAGTCTTACTATGTTGCACAGTCTGGTTTTGAACTCCTGGCCTCAAGCAATCCTCCTGCCTTGATCTCCCAAAGTATTGGGATTACAGGCTTGAGCTACCATGACTGGCCAAGGTCAGACTTTGTAAAAGCCTCTTGAGCCAAGCCAAGGATTTATCTGTGCCTGCAGATACCTGTATGAGTTGGGAGCCAAGCCAAGGATTTATCTGTGCCTACAGATACCTGTATAAGTTGGATGACTTATTCTAGAGGTCTCAAAATATATTTTGAGATTCCTGGGCCTAATCAGAAAATGACATTCTTTACTTAACACAGGTCAGGAAGCTTGCAGGGGAACCACTGAGTCAAGGTACCAGGCCAGTCTTTTCAACTGTCTTTTTTTCAGCTCTATAAGTTAACCTCAATTCCTCAAAACAGTCCAGTCATATCTAAAATATGCCATTCTAGTCAATGCCTTGGTAAAATAATCAGTGTCTCCAACTGTGTCCTGTTATGAAAGACAACAGATTCTTACTGACCTTATGCAAATAACTATATTGCCATAAATTAGGAATACTCACAAATAGTTTTCAAACTTGGAGACATCAGATGAAGAGAAAGAAATATGCTTCAAATTTTGCTCACAAGAATATACTTCACTCAATTGTTAAAAGCTATAAATAGCTCAAAAGAAAATAGTTTGTCAAATATCAAAGGTTTAAAACACTTCATATCACAAAATAGGATCATAGGTCACTGTAAAATGGTCATTGAGCCACAATGATAATTGAAATACTTCAAAAAGCAAAAATTATATACTCTTTAATAGAGTCAGTTTCCCAAACAATCATAAACCTAATAAATTCAGGCTGGGCACGGTGGCTCATGCCTGTAATACCGGCACTTTGGGAGGCTGAGGCCAGTGGATCACCTGAGGTCAGGAGTTCGAGACCAGCCTGGGCAACAGGGCGAAACCCCATCTCTACTGAAATTACAAAAATTGGCCAAGCGTGGTGGTGCATGCCTGTAATCCCAGCTACTCAGGAAGCTGAGGCAGGAGAATCACTTGAACCTGGGAGGTGGAGGTTGCAGTGAGCCAAGATTATGCCACAGTACTCCAGCCTAGGTGACAGAGCAAGACTCCATCTGAAAAAAAATTCAAAAGCCAAAAAACTAATAAATGCAGCATGAGGCCACTGAATCTGTCTGCCTCCCTCACCTATTTTGTTTTGTTTTTTGAAGTTTACTCAAAAGGTAAACAAACATCGTGTACTCTTATTACACAAAAATTTTGTTGAAAAAGGAAACCAAATTTTACATTTGCATTAGTGTTTTATTAATAATAAAGCTAATTTTAATAAAATTTTATAAACAAATCCATCCATTCTTAACCAGTTTGACCACAAGATTTTTATAAACCTTTTATAACCTTTGACAATTTTCCATTTTCTTTTTCAACTTTCTATATACATTTAGTTTTATCTATCATTTTTAAATTCCCTCAGTGTAAAACTTAACTAGGCAAAATTAATATCCCTTTAACAAAAACTACAATGGTATGGCTTCTTATAACCTCCTTTACTAAAAACACGTTTTACTTTCCTCATATATTTTGCATATAGAAATGTTTTTCTTATATCTAGTAGTTTTATTTACTTATTTATTTTTGAGACGGAGTCTCACTGTGTAGCCCAGGCTGGAGTTTTAATTACATATATTAATTATGATGTGAACTCTTAGTAACACTTATTTTTAGAGAAAAACCTGGAAGGTCAGCAATTTTAATAATGTGCTGGATGCAGAGCCCAGGACAAAGGACAGTGCCTGCAGCTATGCCTCCACATGGCTGAGGTGGGACGATTGCTTGAGCCCAGGAAACAAAGATTGCAGTGAGCCAAGATCTCACCACTGAACTCTCACCTGGGTGACAGAAAAAGACTCTGTTTCAAAAAATTAAAATAATAAGCAACAGTTTTATGACTTTAAAACATTTAGGTGACAGAATCTGACCAAACAGACCATTAGACTTAGACAAAAATGTCTAAGTTAAATTCTGAAGACATTTTACTGTCCTGTTTTACCAATAGTTTAGAACCCTATTTACCAAAGATTGCTAGAGTCACCTGAACTAGAACTCATTTGAGTTAACGTTTCTGTTTTTCTGATAAAATATTTGATTTAAGTGCTTACCTTTTCCTTAAGCCAATTAATTAGAGCTCTTTCATGTATTTTGGTAGTGAAACATGACATACACATGACATACGTAAACACATAGACATACAAACACACAAACAGAAGCAGATCTTATAGACTCATAAGATTCTTCATTTGCCATTTTTCAAATAGTTTCTCTCCCTCACTTCAGACTATTAATCTCTTAACTGTTTCATGCCCTAAACAATTGTGAGGGAACTGTAAATTTTCATCTCCAAAAACATGACTCGGCAGGTTGAGGCAGGAGAATCAGGCAGGGAGGTTGCAGTGAGCAGAGATGGCGGCAGTACAGTCCAGCTTTGGCTCGGCATCAGAGGGAGACCGTGGAAAGAGAGGGAGAGGGAGACCATGGGGAGAGGGAGACGGAGAGGGAGACGGAGAGGGAGAGGGAGAGGGAGAGGGAGAGGGCCTGTTTCTTAATTAGATGACTAGATAAATTAGATTACCCTGAAGAGTAGAGCCCTTTAATGAAAAGAGGAAAGAAAGCATGGTGTTTTTAGGGCCTAATCTTTAAATACGCATAAAGCAGGCACAGCTGGAAGGCAGAGCACAGATCCTCCAAAATCAAAGATCCCATTTTTACACCAAATCCTGGGTCCCAGAAAGAAGAGAGCAGTGTGGGACTGGCCGGTGCAATGCTCCCACGGTACATTTCATCTCCTCACAGGACTGAAAGGTGTGATCCTCCCACGGTGCATTTCATCTCGGCACGGGACTGGACGGCGTGATGCTCCCACGGTACATTTCATCTCCTCACAGGACTGAACGGTGTGATCCTCCCACGGTACATTTCATCTCAGCACGGGACTGGACGGCGTGATGCTCCCACAGTGCATTTCATTTTGTCATGGGACTGGACAGTACAGTGCATTTGATTTCAGCACAGGACTGGACCGGGCAATACCCCCACAGTGCATTTCATTTTGTCATGGGACGGGATGGTGTGATGCTCCCCACAGTGCATTTCATTGTAAGGACATTCCCTGGAGGCTGGTGGGCAACCCAGAGCTCTAACTCAACAGTAGAGTAGGTTAGTTGCTGGCCACTTGCAGAGTCCAATTATTTAGAATGAGGCCTGGCACAAATAAGGTTATTTATTCCAAAGGTAGCTTGGGGAAGTGGCACAGGCATCTGTCTTGCATTTAGCTGTCCCACTTTGCTTTTGGAACAGAAAGTGGGCACTTCTAAAAGACAGGGGAGGAAGTGAGCAGGGGCAGGAGTGGGTTCATGCTAGCTCCAGTGCCTTATCAGGTGGTCGAGCTTGTGACTGCTGGCACTTTTGTGGGCAGACCATTATCTCTCCAGGCCACTCCCTGATGGGGGAGTTCCATAGCAGGCATGCTTTGGTCTGTAAATCAACTGTTAACTCTCCAGGAGTTAGATGCACTTGCCGGGGGATCTCGAGGGACTGTCTGGTGAAGGAGGGGAGAAAAGGCTAGATTTGCATACCTAAAGGGCTAAGTAGGAAGTCAGGAACTGGGAAAAGGAGAAAAAAAGAGAGGAAAAAAATAATTAAACATCTTTTAGAAAAATGGGGGTACTCGGAAACAAAGCCAGTTATCCCAATCTGTGGTCAGCCTATCGCCCGTGGAGTCGTATCCCTTGGTGGGCTGTGTTTTCATAGCCTCTAGGTAACACAGGCACACCTCAAAATTGGGGCTTAGCCTGAGAGAGTTCTTGGCTTTGCTCAGGAAATAATTTAAGAGCAGGGCTAACCCACAGGGAGAGGCTAGAGTAGCAGTAAACAGCAGCAGGAGGAGGAGCAGCAGCAGCAGCAGGGGCAGCCACAGCTGCAACAAGGGAGCACTGGCTAGCCACAATTACACCCGGTCTTAATTATATGCTAATCAAGGGGTGGGCTATTCTGAATTTTCTAGAAAAGAAGTAGGGGAGTTCTGGAACCATGTAGGGTATTGCCATGGCATTTATAGGCTGTCATAGTGCCGTAAGGAAGGTCTTCATGCTGATGAGCAGTGAGGGCAACTGGAGGTCACTTTGCTTTCCATCTGCTGGTTTCAGCTGGTTTTTTTCTTTATTTATTTAAGCCTGCTTTTTTTTTTTTTTTTTTTTTTTTTTTTTTTTGAGATAGGGTCTCGCTCCATTGCCCAGGCTGGATCGCAGTGGTACAATCATGGCCTACTGCAGCCTTGACCTCCTGGGCTCAAGCAATCCTCCTGCCTTAGTCTCCCAAGTACCTGGGCCCACAAGCACATGCCACCATGCTTGGCTAATTTTTTAATTTTTTGTAGAGATGGGGGTCTCACTATGTTGCCCAGGGTGGTCTCAAACTCCTGGGTTCAAGTGATCCTCCTTTTGCAGCCTCCCAAAATTCTGGGGTTATAGGCATGAGCCACTGCACCCAGTTTGCATCCTGCTTTGACCAGCAGGGTCATTACCGGTGCTCAGAAAACAAATCCGGCTGATTTCCCACCTCATTGGTGCCCCAAACCATGCTTTTTGTCACCCCCTGTAGTAATAACCATTTTCTGTAAGCAACTGCCATCAGCCACCTCTAAAACTGTATCTCTTGCCTAGCCATTACGCAAACCACGGTCAAGTTTTCTCACAATACAGGGTCATTTTTGGTATCTCCGAAAAGCCAAAGAAATCGGGTAATACTGTGCAAAAGAGAGCGGAGCGTTAGACCTCAGGAGACTCTCCATGTGGTGCTTGAAACTCCACAAGGAAAGCAGAAGACCTCCAACCAACGGTGAGTGGCATCTTTTTTTTCTGAGTTCCTTAAGGGGTTTGGGTCATTAGAAATCTCTAGATCTCTTTACATGGTACTGAATATGGCAGCGGAAGCAGGAGTGGGGCGGAGTAAAAGTATATGGGAGAACAATTTTTTTTAAATGAAGTGAACAGAGGTGTCAGAGGCGTTCGAACCAGAGTGACTCCATCTTGAACAGGGTCTGGGTAAAATAAGGCTGAGGCCCACTGGGCTGCATTCCCAGGAGGTTAGGCACTCTTAGTCAGAGGATGAGATAGGAGGTTGGCACAAAATATAGGTCACAAAGACCTTGCTGATAAAACAGGATGCGATGAAGAAGCCAGCCGGAACCCACCAAAACCAGGATGGCGATGGAAGTGACCTCTGCCTGTCCTCGCTGCTCATTATATGCTAATTATAATGTGTTAGCATGCAAAAAGACACTCCTACCAGCGCCATGATGGTTTACAAATGCCATGGCAATGTCAGGAAGTTACCCCGTGTGGTCTAAAAAGAGAGGGAATCGGTCGGGTGTGGTGGCTCACGCCTGTAATCCCAGCACTTTGGGAGGCCGAGGTGGGCGAATCACTTGAGGCCAGGAGTTCGAGACCAGCCTGGCCAACGTGGTGAAACCCTGTTTCTACCAAAAATACAAAACTTAGCCAAGCATGGTGGTGCATGCCTTTAATCCCAGCTACTCAGGAGGCTGAGGCATGAGAATCGCTTCAACCCAGGAGGCGGAGCTCGCAGTGAGCTGAGATTGTGCCACTGTACTCCAGCCTGGTTGACAGAGTGAGACTCTGTCCCCCCTGCCCCCCAAAAAATCCTTTCAAATCTCTTGTTACCAGATTTTAGCTGGGCCAAACAGCTGATAATTCTTTTTGTATAAGACCCAGAACCATCCCAAAGACAGCTCAAAGAAAGTGAAGTTTCACTAGCCACAAGTGGAGTCTAACTCACATTTCTGTTCAGCTGTATTCTCTAGGGTCTCAGCTTCTCAGCTGACCACCTGCACATAAGGGTCCAAAAGCCCTGTGTCCCAAAGACAGAAGGCAGGAAATCAAAAGCTGTTCATGGAAGGGATAAGGATCAATAAATGGAAGCCAGTAGGGACTGATTCCCTGATCAGGAGGCAAACCCAAGCCGCAGTGAGAATTTTAAATACCAGACTCCAAAATGGAGTAGCTTCCATTGTTAATCCCACATGGAATCCAAAGTGTGCAGTTTGGTTGTTTTGTTTGTTTGTTTTTGTTTTTGTTTTAATTTTTTTAAGAGATAGGGTCTCACTGAGTAGCCCAGGCTGGAGTGAAGTGGTGCAATCATAGCTCACTGCAGCCTCAACCTCATGGGCTCCAGCGAAACGCCTCATCTTGTCTTTAACCTCCAAACTGGGCTTGTGCCAAGTTCACTTTGGGAGACATTTAGTTTGTGGTTTAAATGATAATAGCCCTTCTCCAAAACTAAACTGTCATCATAAGGCTAATGAAAGTCTACCAAGTTAGGACGATGAAAGGAGCCTGAGTTCTGCTGATGTGTACGCATAAATCTAAGATTGGCCTTTTGAGATGTCTTTTCAGGATTTTGCATTTCTTCTTCTTCTTCTTTTTTTTTTTTTTTTTTTTTTGAGATGGAGTTTTGCTCTTGTTGCCCAGGGTGGAGTGCAGTGGCCCGATCTTGGCTCACTGCAACCTCTGCCTCCCGGGTTCAAATGATTCTTCTGCCTCAGCCTCCAAAGTAGCTGGGATTACAGGCGTGTGCCACCACACCCAGCTAATTTTTTATTTTTTATTTTTAGTAGAGATGGGGTTTCACCATGTTGGCCAAGATGTTTTTGATTTCCCGACCTTGTGATCTGTCTGCCTTGGCCTCCCAAAGTGCTGGGATTACAGGCGTGAGCCACTGCGCCTGGCCAGGGTTTTGCATTTCTGATAGCTGATGGCTCCACCTGGACCTGCCAATGTGTCCTGTGGCCTCACCCAGAAGAAGACTGTCACCCCTGTCATTGCATCTGCAACCAACCAGCAGCACTCATTCCCAGGGCCCCCAAACTATCCTTGAAAACTCCTAGCCTCCGAATTCTGGGGAGGCTGGTTTGAGTCATAATAAAACTCCAGTCTCCTGTTCAGCCAGCTCTGCATGAATTAAACTCTTTCTCTATTTCGATTCCCCTGTCTTGATAAATTGGCTCTATCTGGGAAGTGGGATAAATGAACCCACTGCACGGTTACAATAGCAGCATTCACGAGAGCCCGATGGCCATGAACAGACAAATGAATCGACAACGCACGGCGTTCACACAATGGAATATGATATGGCCACATCCAGGACGAGGCACTGACACAGGCTATGACATGGAAGAGCCTCAAAACATCATGCAGAGGGGAAGACACCAATGCAAGAGGCCACATATTACACAACTCCACGTATATGAAATGTGCAGAACAGGCAAATCCAGAGATGGAAAGCAGATTGGTGGTTGCCTTGGACCAGGAGCTGCTTAACGGGTGTGTGGTTTCTTTTTGGGTGGTAAAAATGTTCCGAAACTAGATATAGTGGTCACACAATGTTGTATATTTACTAAATGCCACTGAATTGTGTTTTTTTGTTTGTTTATTTGACGGAGTCTCACTCTGTGACCCAGGCTGGAGTACAGTGGCGTGGTCTTGGCTCACTGCAACCTCCACATCCCAGGTTCAAGCAATTCTCCTGCCTCAGTCTCCCCAGTAGCTGGCATTACAGGCATGCACCACCACCCCTGGCTAATTTTTTTGTATTTTTATTAGAGACGGGGTTTTGCCATGTTGCCCAGGCTGGTCTCGAGCTCCTGAGCTCAGGCAATCCTCCCAGCTTGGCCTCCCAAAGTTCTAGTTCTAAGATAACAGGTGTGAGCCACCATGCCTGGCTTGAATTGTTCATTTTATTTTATTTTATTTTATTTTATTTTATTTTATTTATCTTTTTAAGACAGAGTTTCACTCTTGTCACCCTGGCTGGAGTGCGATGGTGAGATCTTGGCTCACTACAACCTCCACCTCTGGGGTTCATGCGATTCTCCTGTCTCAGCGTCCTGAGTAGCTGGGATTACAAGCACCTGCCACCAAGCCCAGCTAATTTTCATGTTTTTTTCTTTTTTTTTCTTTTTTTTTTTTTTTGAGACAGAGTCTAGCTCTCTCGCCCAGGCTGGAGTGCAGTGGCGCGATCTTGGCTCACTGCAAGCTCCGCCTCCCGGGTTCACGCCATTCTCCTGCCTCAGCCTCCCGAGTAGCTGGGACTATAGGTGCCCGCAACCATGCCCGGCTATTTTTTGTATTTTTAGTAGAGACGGGGTTTCACCGTGTTAGCCAGGATGGTCTCAATCTCCTGACCTCGTGATCCACCCACCTCAGCCTCCCAAAGTGCTGGGATTACAGGCGTGAGCCTCCGCACCCAGCTAATTTTTGTGTTTTTAGTAGAGATGGTTTCACCATGTTGGCCAGGCTGGTCTCGAACTTCTGACCTCAGGTATCTGCCCACCTTGGCCTCCTAGAGTGCTGGGATTATAGGTGTGAACCACCGCACCTGGCCTGAATTGTTCATTTTAAAAATGGTAATTTTGGCTGGCCATTGTGGCTCACACCTGTAATCCCAGGCCAAGGTGGGTGGATCACTTGAGGTCGGGAGTTCAAGACCAACCTTGGCAACATGGCAAGACCCCCATCTTTAGAAAAAATAAAATAAAATAATTAGCCAGGCATGGTGGCATGCACCTGTAATTCCAGTACTTTGAAAGACTGAGACAGGAGGATCGCTTGAGGCCAGGTATTTGAGACCAGCCTGGGCAATATGGCAAGACCCCATCTCTACAAAAAAAAATTTTTTTTAATTAGCTGAATGTGGTGGCACATGCCTGTAATCCCAACTACTTGGGAGGCTGAGGCAGGAGGATTACTTGAGCCTAGGAGTTTGAGGCTGAAGTGAGCTATGATCACACTACTGCAGTCCAGCCTGGGCAACAGAGCAAAACCCTGTATTTAAAAAAAATTTTTTTGTGGCCGGGCATGGTGGCTCACGCCTGTAATCCCAGCACTTTGGGAGGCCGAGGTGGGCGGATCATGAGGTCAGGAGATCGAGACCATCCTGGCTAACACGGCGAAACCCCATCTCTACTAAAAATACAAAAAATTAGCCGGGCGTGGTGGCGGGCGCCTGTAGTCCCAGCTACTCGGGAGGCTGAGGCAGGAGAATGGCGTGAACCCGGGAGGTGGGGCTTGCAGTGAGCTGAGATCGCGTCACTGCACTCCAGCCTGGGCGACAGAGCGAGACTCCGTATAAAAAAAAAAAAAAAATTTGTAAATGGTTAATTCTATGTTGTGTGAATTTCGCCTCAATATTTAAAATGAAAAAGAAAAAAGTCAATAGATGTGACTTAGCTGGGTTATATTTGAGGTGTCTAGACATCCAAGTGGAGCTGTCAGGTAGGCAGTTGTAAAACACAACAGGAGTGACCAGTTTTACCAGCTCTTATGGAAATAGCTGCTTCCTGCCATTCCCCACCCAGCCCACTGCACGCACTGTTGCGGCCCAGAGGTGGGCGTGAGGTCTCTGCTGCCACTCATCCTCATCCACAGCCAGCCACGCTGCAGAGCCACCCAGCCAGAGACACCTACTCTGGTCTCCAGCTAGGATGTTGAGGACCTGTTTCGAATGTCTTGGAAGAAGTCCTGGAATCCTCCCAGCCCCCAGGTACAAGAGTGAAGACGCATACGCTCCCTGTTTATACACCCTGACCCTTTATTTACATCCACCCATGGCAGGGGAGTCAGGTAGAGGCCCCCTTCCTCGATCAACCTAAACTCCTGATCTTGGGGTTTTCTTGTGAGGGTCTGATTTTTATTCTTCTAGGGCCTCACGCCTCCATCTTCTTCTGGTGCCAACATCATGATTTCAAGGCAAAGCTTTTCCCCAACTCCCTACCTTCTATGGATGAATAAAGTGCCCAGAGGAGGCCAGACATGGTGGCTCATGCCTGTAATCCCAGCACTTTGGGAGTCCAAGGTGGGCAGATCACTTGGGATCAGGAGTTTGAGACCAGCCTGGCCACCATGGTGAAACCCCGTCTCTACTAAAAATACAAAAATTAGCTGGGCATGGTGGCACATAGCTGTAATCCCAGCTACACGGGAGGCTGAGGCAGGAGAGTCGCTTGAACCTGGGAGGTGGAGGCTGCAGTGAGCTGAGGTCAAGCCACTGCACTCCAGCCTGGGTGACAGAGTGAGACTTGTCTCAAAAAAAAAAAAAAAGTGCCCAGAGGAGCTCTTCAGCTGGCCCAAGTCTGGCACATGTCCGTTTCTTCACTGATCACTGCCACGGGGCACAGAGCCCCTGGGTGGTGCTGTCCTGGTGCCTGCTGGCCCCTGTCCCCCAGGTCCCCCTTCTGAGTTTTTCCAGGGATACCCTAACCTAACCTGGCCAGATTACTAGAGGTGCTGCTTTATTGGCTCTGGATATGTGTATGCAGCTGCAATTCTGTGTGATATAGATGACCTGCCAGTGGGGCCCTCCTGAAGATGCCATAGTGATTAAGATACGTTTTGTTTTGTTTTGTTTGAGACAGGGTCTCCTTCTGTTGCCCAGGCTGGAGTGCAGTGGTGCAACCACGGCTCACTGCAGCGTCTACCTCCTGGGCTGAAGCGATCCTCCCACCTCAGCCTCCGGAGTAGCTGGGACCACAGGCATGTTGCACCATACCCGGCTTTTTTTTAAAATTATTTTTTGTAGAGACAGGGTCTTCCTGTGTTGCCCAGGCTGGTCTCGAACTCTTGGCCTCAAGCAATCCTCCCTCCTCAGCCTCTCAATGCACTGGGGTTACAGGCATGAGCCACTGCACCTAGCCTAAGATATGGTTTTTGACCTCAGAAAACACAGGGTCCTTCAGGGTTGTGGCTTCCTTGACTGTTTCTTTTTATTTTATTTTATTTTAGGTTCCGGGATACATGTGCAGAATGTGCAGGTTTGTTACATAAGTAGACATGTGCCATGGTGGTTTGCTACACCTGTCAACCCATCACCTAGGTTTTAAGCCCCACGTGCATTAGCTATTTGTCCTGATGCTCTCCCTCCACTCCCCCTACCATAGGCCCCAGTGTGTGTTGTTCCCCTCCCTGTGTCCATGTGTTCTCATTGTTCAGCTCCCACTTATGAGTGAGAACATGCAGTGTTTGGGTTTCTGTTCCCATGTTAGTTTGCTGAGAATGATGGCTTCCAGCTTCATCCATGTCTCTGCAAAGGCCCTTCATTCCTTTCTATGGCTGCACCTTGACTATTTCTATGGCTATTTCTGTTCTTAGGGAGGCTCCTCCCATCTCCAGTGCATTCTTCTGCCCCCCTCTTTTACTGGGAATGGCGGCATTTCTTTGCGTTTTCTGTAACTAGAATTCTCTGTGTGGCTGGCACAGTGTGATGAGCTGGCAAGCTTCCCCACTGTGGGGGAGGGCTTATCATGAGGTCTGCTGGAGGAAACTAAGAGAGCTGAGCCTTAGGGGCTTAAATGAACTGCCTGAGGGGAAGCTGACACCCAGTGGGGCTGTAACCCTGGTTGGAGAGTTCATGTCTGCACCTGGCCTCGGCCTGCGTTCTCACTTGCTCTGCCCAACTGGCTGTGCCTTCAGCCGGCTCATCACCAGGAGATTTGGGTTGGAGCTACTGCTCAGCCACCATGAGCTACATGACCTTGAAGGCCGATCTTTGATTGTCCGCAGGATAATCCTGAAGGTTCTCAGGCCATGGACCTGTGAATTTCCCTTCTTTCAGTGTCTGCATCATTGGGAACCAAGCCCCTAACCAATGTTTATTCATTCGCTCAACCAATATTTGTGGAATATCACAGCCCTAGGGGTGGGGACACAGCAGGGAACAAGAAAGACAAGAATTATTGTCCTCAGTAGGTTACTGTGGAGTGGGGAGGCTGGCAGGAAGCCACGTAACTAGAATACACGTTAGGTCAAGGCAGTATTCCCACAGAGAAGATGGAACAGGGAAGGGGAGTGAAGGCCAGGATGGGAGGTCTACGGACTTAAGTAGGATGATCTGGGAAGTAGCATTTGAGTAGAGTCTGGAAGGAGGGATGGGAAAGAGTGTTCCAGGCAGTGGGAACAGCAGGTGCAAAGGCCCTGGGGCAGAAGTGTGCCTGGACTGTCAAGACTGTTGGGCTGTGTGTCTGGAGCAGGTAAAAGAGAGATAAGGTCAGCAAGGACCTGATAAGCAGAGCCTCATGGTCACGCTGAGGACTCCAGGACCTGTACACCGAAGGGAATGACAGGAGCTGACTCATGCCCTAGCAGGACTTCTCTGTCTGCTGTGTTGAGCGCTGGTGATGGGGGCGTGGGAAGAAGTTAGGAGCCATTACAGAGGTCCCGGTGGGCCATGATCAGGACACCACAATGCAGGTGGTGAGAATGGATCGGATTCTAGACATATCTCAAGGTGGAGGACCAAGACTTTCATCTAAATCTAAACAATAGTTATGAAATGTTAACTTGAGATGGATCTATTGGAATTATTCAGATACTTCCAATAATGGATCATGAGAACCAAGAAAGGCCCTAGAATTTATCCTGATCTTCGTAGGATTTTCCCAAGGGTAGAAATGATGATGAACTGGGTGACCGTTCACAAAGGAGAGAGGATTCCCAGCCCCCAAGCCTGAAGCCTTCCCCTCAATCACCCTCAATCACCATCTTCTGTGGGTCGACCAGATGCACGGACTGTTCTCAGCCATCCCTGTGGTTCTTACGGCAATGTCTAGCTGTGGGACTGCACTGGTGCTTCGATGGCTCATAGAAGCCCCATATAAGGCACTGCTCCTGTGGGATGTGCCTGTCAAACCTGCTTGTCCACTGCCGTTCAGTTCAGCCAGAGATTGGGCCACATTCAGTCCTCGCTTCCCTGGGAGGGGGAAGGTAAGTGCGCGCAGTCCATCCGGCGAAGAGCAGGTCAGCCTACGGAGGGCTCAGCCTACGGAGGGGCTCAGCCGACACAGGTCTGATGGGGCCCGAGAGTGGTCCCAGGGGAGTGGGAGGGGCCGGCATCTTCCTCATCAGGAGTGGAGGAGCTGCCTTGTATGTGGACTAGAGAACAGAAAACGGCTTGTCTGTGTTGCTGGGTCAATCACTGGAACATTCTCTGAATGCTGAGTTCTGCCTTAAAACAGCATGGGTCATGCTAGATGAAAGGGATCTCTGTTTTATACTCTCATCTCTTCGCTATTGCCGTGGGATGAAAGACAGCAGAAGGAAGGTGTCTAAGTTCAGAACAAAGTGAGCAAGACCAGCTGGCTGCTGTTGGTAGCAGAGGCACAGCCAGCCTGTCATGGCACTGGGGGGCCGAGGTGAGCTGTGCCCCCTCCTCCTGGGCTTGTGACCCTCTGCCCCCCATGGGGTATGTACATGTGTGTGTGTGCGTGTGCGTGTGTGTATGTGTACATGCCTTCTTCCCTACTTCACTGGCAAGGGAAGAGACTGACACTTGGGTTAGGAGAAGGATGTTGACCTGGGAGGGGTCAAATAAGGAGAACCCACATCTTAGATGCTCAGGATTTTATGATCTTAGGCTCTTCTAGAATTGCTGTACAGTTAGATTCAGAGTTTGGAATTAGAGATCTCTGGGCCCTCCCCTCCCCTCCCGTCCCCTCCCCTCCCGTCCCCTCCCCTCCTCTCCCCTCCCCTCCTCTCCCCTCTCCTCCCCTCCCCTCTTCTCTCCTTTTTCAGAAGTCTCCCTCTGTCGCCCAGGCTAGAGTTGCAGTGGCACAATCTCGGCTCACTGCAATTTCTGCCTCCTGGGTTCAGGTGATTCTCCTGCCTCAGTCTCCCAAGTAGCTGGGACTATAGGTGCACGCCACCACACCTGGTTAATTTTTTTATTTTTAGTAGAGACAGGGTTTTGTCACGTTGGCTAGGCTGGTCTCAAACTCCTGACTTCAGGTAATCCGCCCATCTTGGTCTCCCAAAGTGCTGGGATTACGGGCGTGAGCCACGGCTCCTGGCGCCTTCCCATTCACCTTCCCCTTCCCCTCCCCTTCCTCCCTCCCTCCCTCCCTCCCTCCCTCCCTCCCTTCCTTCCTTCCTTCCTTCCTTCCTTCCTTCCTTCCTTCTCTCTCTCCTTCCCTTCCTTCCTCTCTCTTTCTTTTCTTCTTTTCTTTCTTTCTTTCTCTCTCTCTCTCTTTCTTTCTTTTCCTTTTTTTGAGCCAGGGTCTTGCTCTGTCACCCAGGCTGGAGGGCAGTGGCACAATCATAGCTCACTGCAGCCTTGAACTCTTGAGCTCAAGCAATCCTCCTGCCTTGGCCTCCAAAGTGCTGGGATTACAGGCCTGAGCCACTGTGCCCAGCCCTAAGGTTTTTTGTTTTGTTTTGTTTTGTTTTACTGTTAGGACTAACCCTTATTTACACTGGGACAAGTTACAAAGAAACTCCTGCAATTGTTAACTGCCATTGGAGACTACTGTAAGTTGCTTCATGGCAACTGCAGAAGGGACTAGTGACTTCTATTTAGCTCCACCCACTGATGCTTGAAGTTCAGTGTGGCTCTGGGGGCTCCAGAAGCCTGAGGGGCAGCTGGCTGGGGCAGTTGGCTGGGGTCTGGAGAGTTCTGCAGAGCCCCTGTCTTCAGCTGCTGGTGAGGCAGCTTTGGCTTGAGCTGCCCTGGCTTTCTGAGTTCAGTCTGATGGGAGGGCACAGTCAGCACCCTCAGACCCTCCTCAGGAGTCTTGTGAGGCTCGGGCAAGTCAGGGGCAGAGGGACAATCCAACTAGAGGACCCTCCCAGACCCGGTCGTTGCCACCTGGACCCAGCCCCAGGAAGGCACCCGAGAAACCTGTAGTCCTCGGCTGACCACCAGTCCTGGTCCTCAGGATATCCGCAGAGACCTGGCTGTCCAGAACTCCCAGGGTTTCAGCTGCAAGCTGGAGATGTGGCCCCTTGGCAACTCGATATAGTAAGATACTGGAGAGCGTGCCAGAGTGTCATTTGCTAGAAACAAACATTATACTGCGGTAAGCCCTAGTTTTTCAGTCATTGGCTCTTTGGCACCAACTTAATCACAAGGCCATTGGCCCCAAAGAAAGGCCTTGTAGGCGACTGTTTAGGGACACCTGTATTTTCCATCTGCCTTGGAACCTCTAGGCTCAGGCCGAATGCCTATTGAAGTAGATGTTTCGTAAGAGATTTGGGGGCAAATACTGGGATTTTATAAAGATGCTGCACTCTCCTTCACTAAGTAGAAAGCTGAGAAATCCTGCCCTGAGGGGAAGAAACAGTTGTCTTCCTGACTGATGCATCCTAGACCAGCCAAGACTTCCTCCCGCTTTCCTTCTTCTAGAACTTTCCCCACTTCAGCCAGTATCTGTCATCCCCTGGGCTCCCACCCTCTCCATGTGCCGCTTTCATCGGGGCTGAGGGGAGCAGGAGAGGAGACGTTTCTGCTGGTGTCCCCGCTGTAGCTGGAGGAGCTCGGCGTCGGCGTGCCTTCGCCTCCCCTTGCCATGATGCCCCCTAAACCGAGTCTGTATTGAGAGAGAAAGGTGGCACCGTTGATCATTACTCCAGGACAAGAGTCATAAAAGGACTGTCCCAGACAACCTAGGACCCCAGTGTTCTGTGGCGAACACTTCTAGGATGAGGCCCATCTCCTTCTCTGTTTCATCAATTGGATTAATTTTATTGTTTTCTAAAATAATGACTATGGTTTTTATTGAACCCATACTTGCTTATTCTAAACATTCTTTTTTTTTTTTTTTTTTTTTTTTTTGAGGTAGAGTTTCACTCTGGCTCCTAGGCTGGAATGCAGTGGCACCATCTCAGCTCTCTGCAACCTCCACTTCCCAGGTTCAAGCGATTCTCCTGCCTCACCCTCCTGAGTAGCTGGGACTACAGGCGAGCACCACCACAGCCGGCTAATTTTTCTATTTCTAGTAGAAATGGGGTTTCACCATGTTGGCAGGCTGGTCTCGAACTCTGACCTCAAGTGATCTGCCTGCCTCAGCCTCTGAAAGTGCTGGATTGCAGGCGTGAGCCACCGCACCAGGCCTAAACAGATTTCTTTACAATCTACCACCATGAACAGCAAGCATTAGCATTGGTGAGGAGTGTTCCAGAATCCCTCTGCTCTCTGCCTCTCCATTTCTCTCCCCCTCTCTTTCTCTCTCATGCACACACACACACACACACACACACACGCGCGCGCGCGCGCGCGGAATGACAGGACAGACTGATCGGCAGATTGGATGAATGGATGGATGGGCACATAGATTGAGGGACTCCCAGAGATAAACTAACACCATTTTATAAAAATGGTATCATATTCTACATGATTGAAATGTAAACTTTTAATTTTACTTAAATTTTAGTTCAGCTCAGATGTTGCTGGCAAAAGTTTTTTTTTATTATTTTTATTTTTTATGTACTGCTCCTTGAGGAGCTGGGCTAACTCATAGGCAGTGCATCCAGATTCGGCATTTTTTTTTTTTTAGATGGAGTCTCGCACTGTCACCCTGGCTGGAGTGCAATGGCACAATCTCGGCTCACTGCAACCTCTGCCTCCCAGGTTCAAGTGATTCTCCTGCCTCAGCTTCCCAAGTAGCTGGGATTACAGGCACACACCACCACACCTGCCTAATTTTTTGTATTTTAGTACAGATGGGGTTTCACTATGTTGGCCAGACTGGTCTCGAACTCCTGACCTTATGATCTGCCCACCTCGGCCTCCCAAAGTGCTGGGATTACAGGCGTGAACCATCGCGCCCAGCCAAAAAATATTTTTTAATTGTTAAAAATAATAATGGAATGCCAAATGTAGTAGAACAGTTTCACAATGACAAGAACTATTAGTTCCTAAAAAATCCCCAAGATTCAGATAAGAGATTACAAAAACCTTGATAAATTAGTGACATTATGTAAAATCAACAGTGCTGGGTTTGGTGGCTCAGACCTGTAATCATTGCACTTAGGGAGGCAGAGGCGGGAGGAGTGCTTGAGCCCAGGAGTTTGAGAGCCTGGCCAACATAGCAAGACCCCATTCTCCACAAAACGGAAAATACAATAAAATAAAATCAGCGTTTTGTTTTATTTTATTAATTTATTTGAGATGGAGTCTCGGTCTGTCTCCCTGGCTGGAGTGCAGTGGCGTAATCTCAGCTCACTGCAGCCTCTGCCTCCCGGGTTTAAGCGATTCTCCTGCCTCAGCCTCCCAAGTAGTTGGGATTACAGGCATGTACCACCACACCCAGCTAATATTTGTATTTTTAGTAGAGACAGGGTTTTGCCATGTTGGCCAGACTGGTCTGGAACTCCTGACCTCAGGCGACCTGCCCGTCTCTGCCTCCCAAAGTGCTGGGATTACAGGCGTGAGCCACGTCGCCTGGACTTCCTTTATTTTAGATAGCACAGGGTCATGGAAGATAAAGTGATGCCTTCCTTCCCCTACCCCCTACCCCGATTTCTACTGCTTGCATTATTTCTTAGGGTAAAGAATCTTCTTATTTGGCTGGAAGACTCTATTCCCACCGTAGTTTAGTCCTGGATGTGTGATTAAAGAAATCCAGTGGTTGCCCTGCGCTGAGAAGGACAGCCGGGCCTGGGTTCTCTCCTGGCTCAGTACAGCCCCCTCCCCACTCCTGCTGAGGACTCCCAGGGAAGCTGGAGGCAGCTCTGGGGCGTTTTCTCTGACTTCCCTAGACTTCTCTTCAGCTGCCCAAACAGTAGAGGGATGCTGAAGCCCTCTCTTCCCGCAGTCTGTCCCTAAGGGTTGCGCTGGCACCTGTGCCCCCAGTGCCCCTTGGCAGCACTCCTTTGGTTTCAGGGCTTGTCTGCCATTTTTCTTTTTTCTTTCTTTCTTTTTTTTTTTTAAGACAGGGTCTCAGTCTGTCATCCAGGCTGGAGTGCAGTGATGCAATCTCATTTCACTGCAACCTCTGCCTCCCGGGCTCAAGTGATCCTTCCACCTCAGCCTCCCAAGTAGCTTGGGGACCACAGGCTCACGCTACCATGCCCGGCTAATTTTTGTATTTTTTGTAGAGACAGGGTTTCGCCATGTCACCCAGGCTGGTCTTGAACTCCTGGGCTCAAGCGATCTGCCTGCCTCAGCCTCCCAAAGTTCTGGGATTGCAGGTGTGAGCCACCATGCCCGGCCTGCTATTTTTCAGTTTGTGGCAGAAAAGTTGTTTTCCTTTCCTCATTTTGTGGTTGCTGCTTTATTCACTTATTTATTTTTTTAACTTTTTAAAACGCAACATTTGGTTCATTTCACCAGGAGCTGGGGAGGGAGGTACAGGAGGCTGCCCTGATCCTTTGTTGGGTTTGATCTGGAGACTTTGACGTGACAGAGCGACTGCGCCCACTGGTTGTCCTCTAAGAAGGCGTGAGGGGAAGCCCAGACGCCTCTGCAGGAGCCAGAGACATTCCTAGGGGGTCACAGGGTCAGCTGAGGTGAACAGGGATTCTGGAATGAGGAAGCCAAGGGGATGGAAGGGAGGAGGCTGGCAGGGAAACGCCCAGAGCACGTGCTCCTGCCCGACACCTCCAGGCAGAGAACAGGAGCTGGCAAGAGAGGAACCCCGCTTGTGGTGGGGACGCTGAACAGGCAGGGCCTGGCTGGGATGGGGGCCCAGCCTAGGCTGAAAACGAAGAGAAAGGAAAGTGGGTGCCGGTGTCCCACGCACTGTGGACCCCCAGCCCTGGCCCTGGGGTGGCAGGGGCAGAACCGGGCACTGCAGGGACCTCCTCAGCCCACCCTCCTCCTGCTTCCTGGCAGGGATGAGAGAGGGAAGCAGGAGGCAGGGTGGGATTGCCAGCTGCTCTCGGATCGTTTTTTTTTTTTTTTTTTTTTTTTTTTTTTTTTTTTTTTTAAAAACGGGATCGTGCTATGTTGCTAGGCTAGTCTTGAACTCCTGGGCTCAAGCGATCCTCCTGCCTCTGCCTTCCAAATTACAGGCATGAGCCACTGCACCAAGCCTGGATCTTTTTTTTTTTTTTTAAACAACTTTGTTGAAATATAACTCACGGCCAAACACAGTGGCTCACACCTATAATCCTAGCACTTTCGGAGGCTGAGGGGGGAGGATCACTTGAGCCTAGGAGTTTGAGACCAGCCCAGGCAACATAGTGAGACCCCCTTCTTTACAAAAAACAACAACAACAAAAAAAATGAGCCTGGCATGGGGGCACATATCTGTATTCCCAGATACTCCGGAGGCTAAGGTAGAGGATCACTTAAGCCCAGAAGACGGATGTTGCCGTGAGCTGAGATTGCACCATTGCACTCCAGCCTGAGCAACAGAGCAAGACCTTGTCTCAAAAAAAAAAAAAAAAAAAAAGGAAGAGCTATAACCCATACGGCACACAATTCACCCGTTTAAGATGCTTCTAGTGTATTCACAGATGTGTGCAATCGCCGCCACAGTTAACTTTAGGACATTCCATCATCTGTAAAGGAAACATCCCCTACCTTTAGCTACCATCCTGACATCCTGATAGACAGGGGGCCTGAAGACCCCTCGGTGATGCAGGGCAGGGCTGGAGTGGGGGCCCTGGGCTGACTTTATTGCTCGCTATTGCTGCCTTGAAATTCTGAATACGTTTTTAAAACAAACGCACCATCCTTTCATTTTGCCCTGAGCTCCACAGACGATATAGCTGGTCCTGAAGTGGGGCAGAGGATCATTCTGACTTGGAGTCAGACTCTAGCGACGCAGGCTTCTACTGGGTGGAGGCCCAGGAGCTCAGGAGCCTTCTGTGGGAGTGTGCCCATTGGCAGCGCATCCCTGGAGATGGACGGACAATTTCCACATCGCCTTTGCCCCTGTGCACGCTCCCTCTGGCTGCCGTCATAAATTACCACAAACTGGGTGGCTTAAAACAACAGAAATGTATTTGCTCATGGTTCTGGAGGCCAGAAGTCCACACTCCAGGGGTGAGCAGGGCCGCACCCCCATGAAGGCTCCAGGGAGGGTCTGCTTCATGCCTTCTCTTGAGTTTCTAGTGTTGCCACCGACCCTTGGCGTGTCACTCCAGTCTCGGCCTCTGCCAACATGGGGTGATCATGGGGTGTCTAGGCCTAGGGCCCTTCTCCTCCTCTTCTTCTTCTTCTTTCTTTTTTTTTTAAGACAGGGTCTTGCTCTGTCGTCCAGGCTGGAGTGGAGTGGCACTACCTCAGCTCTGCAACCTACACCTCCCAGGCTCAAGCGATCCTCCCACCTCAGCCTCCTAAGTAGCTGCGACTACAGGTGTGCACCACAACACCTGGCTAATTAAAAAAAAAATTTTTTTAGGCCAGGTGCAGTGGTTCATGCCTGTAATCCCAGCACTTTGGGAGGCCGAGGCAGGCGGATCACTTGAGGTCAGGAGATCGAGACCAGCCTGGCCAACATGGTGAAACCTTGTCTCTACTAAAAATAAAGAATTAGCTGGGCATGGTGGCATGCACCTGTGATCCCAGATACTCAGAAGGCTGAGGCAGGAGAATTGCTTGAACCCGGGAGACAAAGGTTGCAGTGAGCCAAGATTGTGCCATTGCACTGCAGCCTGGGAGACGAGCAAGACTCTGTCTCAAAAAAAAAAAATTTTTTTTTAGCAGATTTTAGCAGAGACAAGGTCTCACTGTGTTGCCCAGGCTGGTCTCAAACTCCTGAGCTCAAGCAATCTGCCCGCCTTGGCCTTTCAAAGTGTGGGATTACAGGCATGAGCCACCACACCCAGCCCTTCTCCTCTTGTTATAAGGGCACCCATCCCTGGACTAGGGCCCACCCTAATGACCTCAACTTGATTACGTTGGCAGAGACTTATTCCCAAATGAGGTCCTACTTACAGGTACTGGGGGTCAAGACTTCAGCATTCTTTTGCGGGGGGCCACAATCAGTGACACCCTGACTCGCAAGCCTCAATCACCTGTTCCAGTGAGAAACAGGACTGAGATCAGAAGGAATGAGGCAGAGCTGCCCTCGATTGGTTCTCCTCTCCTCCTCACCTGCCCACCCCGGCCTCTGCGCCCGTCACTGTCCTCTCCAGCTGTTCTTCCTTCCGGGCAAGGAGACTCAGCAGAAGGGTATGAGTGGCCTGGCCCTGTGGGGAGCCGCAGACAGGCCTGTGGGTGCTTTGGATAACTACTGCGCCTGTCAACTCTCCTTGGTAGTCTAGGGTTCAAAGCCCAGGTCCATTCTAGAAGTCTGCTTCCAAGTGCTAAGGAAGCTTCAATAGTTACTGGGAAAACCACAGGGGTCAAAGGTCCGTCGAGTTATTTCCCGGATCCGAGTCTGACGTCTTTTCCCCGCCGCTTGCGGTGGTTGTGACCGAACCTTGAGTTTTGGAACAGGTCACATGGCTTTGAAATCACGGTCAATTCACCTGGTGCTGCTTTGACTTCAGGCTCTTCCTTCTGCCCAGCTCCGTCCCACCCAGCAGCCCGCAGAGAAAGGAGGCAGCTGGCACCACACTGGGCTTTGGAGACACTGCGGGGACTGTGGACCCCACCCTGCTGCACGGAGCTCCTGCAAAAGCAAACCTGAGAACCTTGGTGAGTACTTCCGGAGACCCGGCTCCTGGGACGGCTTCTGGCGCTGCTCCTGCACACACGACTCTCCAACGATCATTTTCCATGTTTTATTTTTATCTTTTAATTTTTGAGATGGAGTCTCACTCTGTCACCCAGGCTGGAGTGCAATGATGCAATCTCAGCTTACTGCAACCTCTGCCTCCCAGGTTCAAGTGATTGTCCTGCCTCAGCTTCTCAAGTAGCTGGGACTACAGGCACCCGTCACCATGACTGGCTAATTTTTGTATTTTCAATAGAGACGGGTTTCCACCATGTTGGTCAGGCTAGTCTCAAACTCCTGACCTCAGGTGATCTGCCCGCCTTGGCCTCCCAAAGTGCTGGGATTACAGGCATGAGCCACTGGCCCCGGCCCATTTTCCATTTTTCAGATGACAGGTGTTGATTTGCTCTGATTTTCAAGTATTTTTAGCATACAGATCCCTGCAAGAGGCATCTGTCTCCAGTGGTCCAGCCTCTCCTTCCAAATGAAAAGAATCAAGTCACAGGAATTCATGGGTCTGTAAGGAATCGCTCCCATCTGTGCCCAGGAGATTAACAAAGGCGGTGGCTGCAGCTCTGTGAGCAGTGGAGAAAAATTAGGCACAACCTGATATCCTCCCACAGGAGCGTAAGTCCACTGTGGTTATTCATATCATTGAATCCAGTGCACAGTTTAAAGGACCATGCATGTATCAAGCTGCATGTATCAGTATGAGAAACCTCAGAAGCCGTACAGCCTTGCACAGAACGATAGTTTCTGTGAAGTTCCAGCTAACACTGAAGGCACTGTTGATGTAAAGCTGCTGTCTGCACGAAGTATCATGCAAAGATGCTATGTACTGTTTATACACACTTCCATTTGTAGGAAATGATTTTTAAAATATCATTTTTAGGCTGGACTGTAATCCCAGCACTTTCAGAGGCTGAGGTAGACAGATCACCTGAGCCCAGAAGTTCGAGACCAGCCTGAGCAACATACGGAGATTCCATCTCTACAAAAATTAAAAAAGAAGCCAGGCATGGTGGCGCATGCCTGCGGTCTCAGCTACTTGAGAGGCTGAGGTGGGAGGATTGCTTGGGTCTGGGAGCTCAAGGCTGCAGTGAGCCACGATCACGCTACTGCGTTCCAGCCTGGGCAACAGAGTGAGACCCTACCTCAAAAAAAATCATTTTTAAATGATTTTAGAATGTCTGGCCAGAGAGGGAGGGAAGAGGGACTGAAGAGAACAAAAAGGCGCCATCTGCCTCGCATTTCCTTAAAAAGAAACCTGAAGTGCAGAATGTCAAGATGGTTGAATCCGCATGGTAGATATGTGGATATTTGTTATTTGCAGGATTTTTTAATATGCTGAAAACAGTGCACAGTTTTAAAACATTTTAAAATTATTTAGATGGATTAATGGGCTAATGGCCTCATGTTGATGCCAGAGAGGGGCTCAGGCAGGGGCACAGTGGGGTACACAGCTCATCTCTCGCTGGGATGGGAGGCTGGGCAGGTGACGGCTGAGGACCTCCAACAGCTCTTAGAGTCTGCACTAGCCAGCATGTCCCCTGAAGAGCAGGTGTTCCGGGCTGTAACGGCGACCTGCTTCGTGTATTCTGTCCAGACAGACCTGGGCTTGGGACATCAGCCCTGGTGGTGGCCCCAGATCAGCTGCAGCTCAGCCCTTTCGGGGACCTGTCCACCCTCTGTCTGCCTCGCCATCTTTGTAAGCCCACACCCCCCGCAGCCGAGCCGTGCTGGCCGTTACTACCCTGAAGTGTCTTCTGCGAGGCACTTGTGCCCAGTGTCACTCCCCAGCACATTTCCCTCATGTGGAGTCCTCTGCGCAGTCCTCTGTGTCACTGTCCTGGGCCGCTGCAAACAAGGGACCACCTGCTGCGTAGTTGAAAACAATGGGAACTTTTTTTTTTGTTTTTTTAGACAGAGTCTTGCTCTGTTGCCCAGGCTGGAGTGCAGTGGCACGATCTCGGCTCTAGAGAAGCCGACAGTCTTGCTTCTAATGAAAATTACCTTTCATAAAGAACTTATAAAGCAGCATTTCCAAAGTGCAGCACCCCTACTGTTATTTGTTTGTTTGTTTGTTTGTTTGTGTGTTTGTTTACCGGGACAGGGTCTCCCTCTGTCACCCAGGCTGGAGTGCAGTGGCACAATCTCAGCTCACCACAACCTCTGTATCCCAGGCTCAAGTGATCCTCCTGCCTCAGCCTCCTAAGTAGCTGGGATTGCAGGTGCATACCACCATGCCTGACTAATTTTTGTATTTTTAGTAGAGACAGGGTTTCACCATATTTGCCAGGCTGGTCTCGAACTCTTAGGCTTGAGCAATCCTTCCCCCTTCGCCTCTCAAAGTGCTGGGATTATAGGCGTGAGCCAATACGCCTAGCCTACTACCATTATTTTAGATGAATTTCTAAAAAAAAAAAAAAGTATTTATTTACTTTAATTTTTTAGAAAAAGCTGTAACTGACACAACAAAGTGTGATTTAGTGACTTTATTGCTTAGGATTGGGGTAGAGCAGGTGGGGCCGTGGCACTCAACCTTACACAGAGGGAGAAACCAGAATGGCAAATGGCCACTGGAATGCTTCCTCTGCCGTAAACATCTCAAGACTGTGGGTTCTGACTGGCAAAGAGTGCGCCTTGCTAATTTTACGATGGAGTTGATTTTAAAACGGTGTCACCCTGGCTATCCTGGGGTCCTGCTTACCTGACAACTCCACCCCCATGGCCACCCCTCCTAGGGTCCTCCCAGCGCCCAGCCATGGGGGAACTGTGCCGCAGGGACTCCGCACTCACGGCACTGGACGAGGAGACACTGTGGGAGATGATGGAGAGCCACCGCCACAGGATCGTACGCTGCATCTGCCCCAGCCGCCTCACCCCCTACCTGCGCCAGGCCAAGGTGCTGTGCCAGCTGGACGAGGAGGAGGTGCTGCACAGCCCCCGGCTCACCAACAGCGCCATGCGGGCCGGTGAGCGCAGCTCCCTCTTCCCCACCTCTTCCAGCTTCCCGTGGCCCACATGGCTCCACTGTCTGCCTCTGTCTTCAGGGGGTCTCTTCTCGTCCTGTCTCTTATAAAAACACTTGCTGTTGCCTTTAGGGCCCACCTGGATAACCAGGATGATCTGATCTTGAAATCATTAACTTATATCTGCAAAGGCCCTTTTCCCAAAAAAGGTCATCTGGACAGGTTCCAGGTGGATGTGTCTTTGAAGGGGAACCACCATTCACACCACTACAGCTGTCTTTGGAGTCCATTCTGATGGTCTGACTAGTGTTTATTCATTAAAAAATGGGGATGGTAATGGCTTTACTGTATACGGTTGTTAGGAGAAGCAAATGAGTTACTGTTTATAAAACACTCACTGCAAAGCTGGGGCCATAGAAAACAGGCAGTAGGTGGTAGCTGTCAACATGATAATGTTCATGCATGTTGGCGTACGAACCCCAAACACAGGAGAGATTGATGCACGCTGGTCATTCTGGCTGAGAGAGATGGGCTCTGGGCCCTGGGCGTGGAAGGCCCCGAGGCTCTCTGGGACCTGTCACCCGCAGCCCCGGGGTGCCACTCTGCTTTCTGTGCGCAGCTCCAAAGCTGACAGCACCGTGGTGGGACCCTGCGTCTGCATCACCCACCAGCTTGCCAGGGAGGTGCTTGCAAGCAGGGACCCACCTCCTCACCCCGTCCCGGTCCCCCCGCACTCGCCAGAGCACTGGGGTTGCAGTAGTTGCTCGATACATGCCAGCTTTGCCCTTCTCGAGTCTGACTGAGGTCATGGGGGTAAAGGGAGCCTGTGAGAGCAGTGAGGGCGCGTCCCACCCAGCAGAACCCAGAAAACCGCTTTCACCTCCCGATTCTTACATGTGCGGGGGGTTTCCCAGCCCCAGGCCTCTCCCCCGTGGGGAAGCCAGCCAGGGAGCCCAGCCCCCTTGGTAGCTGGGTTCTGCCCAGACAGACGGTTCTGCCTCCCAAGGGCACTTGCTGGATTTGCTGAAGACTCGAGGGAAGAACGGGGCCATCGCCTTCCTGGAGAGCCTGAAGTTCCACAACCCTGACGTCTACACCCTGGTCACCGGGCTGCAGCCTGATGTTGACTTCAGTAACTTTAGCGGTGAGAGCTCCGACTTTGACGGTTTGGCAGGCACTTCTAGGAACCTCAGGCTCCTGGTAACCCCAGGTGCCCCGCTTACTTGCCGATTTGCCCTACTCCCCCTTCCCTCCAGGCTGCAGTTCCTGTCCCAGCCCCAGCACTCTGAGGGTGAGGAACCCCCTCACTGTATTGGGGTTGGATAGGATAAGGAGCCCCTGGGCCTTGACTCTGAAGGGTCGGTCCTTAGTTACCCAGTGCCAAAAGGAGACCCCTGAGCGGTAGGGTGGGGAGAATCTGCTTGGAGAGACACAAGCAAAGGGCAAGGGAGTGTCTCCTGGAGTCCGCCTTTAACCTTGCGGCTTTGCTGGAGGGGCCAGAACGGCCCAGCCTCAGCTCTTAGGAGGCGACAGAGCGGCCCCGGCCAGAGGGTACAGGGCCTTGGCAGGGCCGCGGAGCCTTCTGTGCACTGCTCACCATTTTCCTTCAGGGAGTAATTCTAGGCTTCCCTGGAGGAGCTGTTGAAAGATTTAGGTATTGAAAGGAGCAGGAGCAGGACTCACACGACCCAAAACAGTGGAGAATAGACCATTTTCCCTGTGTTCCAGCACGGTGTGTGTTTATGTTCTTTAGAGTTCTAGTACGCGGATTCGTATTCTTTTTTTATCTTTTTCTCAGGATAACGTTAAAATGAGTTAGCACTGAGTGCATTTCAGCTACCGAGGAGGGTCATTAAGTCTGAACAGTGGGGTCTCACGGGGAAGGTCAGAGTGGGTAACCCTCGTGCCAAAATCGGGAGTCACGCTGTTTATTCAACCAAAAGACCAAGTCTGCTTGAGGTCCAGGAGCTTTTAAGGAGACCAGCAGGTTAAAGCTGGGGGCCTGCTGGGGAGTCTGGGCAAGGCTGTGGGGGCATGGGAGTCATGCCTCGGCCCACCGGCCCATCTGTGCACCTGCACACCTGCCCACATGCCCACCCGCCCACATGCTCAGCTGCCCACATGCTCACCCGCCCACATGCTCACCCGCCCACATGCTCACCTGCCCACATGCTCACCTGCCCACCTGCTCACCTGCTCACCTACCCACCTGCCCACCTATTACCTCCCTACCTGCTCACTTGCTCACCTGCCCATCTGCCCACAGGTCTCATGGAGACATCCAAGCTGACCGAGTGCCTGGCTGGGGCCATCGGCAGCCTGCAGGAGGAGCTGAACCAGGAAAAGGGGCAGAAGGAGGTGCTGCTGCGGCGGTGCCAGCAGCTGCAGGAGCACCTGGGCCTGGCCGAGACCCGTGCCGAGGGCCTGCACCAGCTGGAGGCTGACCACAGCCGCATGAAGCGTGAGGTTAGCGCACACTTCCATGAGGTGCTGAGGCTGAAGGACGAGATGCTCAGCCTCTCGCTGCACTATAGCAATGCGCTGCAGGAGAAGGAGCTGGCCGCCTCACGCTGCCGCAGCCTGCAGGAGGAGGTAGGGGGACACCCTGCACCCCGGCGCGACCCTGCTGTCGTCTGCCCCCAGGCCTTTGTACTAGCTGGTCCATCTCCCTGGAACTCCTTTCCCCTCTTCCTTGTCTAACACTTCCCTGCCCCGAGAGCCTTGGCTGAGACCCCTCTGGGAAGCTGATCCTTCCCCTCCCCAGGAGGCCACCCAGGCCCCTCTGTGTAGCCTGCATGGCGACGAGGTGTGCCTTGTCCAGTAGCTGCCCGTGGCCTGGCTGGCTTGTCTGTGAACTGCCCATCCTGCTGACGCCTGGGCAGGTCTGGACACACTCTGGGCTGCATATTTGTAGGGCCGCCTACGTCCCACTGCCCAGCTGCGGCAGTGACATGGGATAGTCGGCCTCTGTCATCCTCCTTTGTCCTTCTCAGCTGGTCCTGGACTCAGGCGGGATAGTTGGTCTCTGTCGTCCTCCTTTGTCCTTCTCAGCTGGTCCTGGACTCAGGCGGGATAGTTGGTCTCTGTCGTCCTCCTTTGTCCTTCTCAGCTGGTCCTGGACTCAGGCGGGATAGTTGGTCTCTGTCGTCCTCCTTTGTCCTTCTCAGCTGGTCCTGGACTCAGGCGGGATAGTTGGTCTCTGTCGTCCTCCTTTGTCCTTCTCAGCTGGTCCTGGACTCAGGCGGGGAGGGCAGGAGGGTTCTCAAGTGAGGCCTCTGAAACTCAGTGTGTTTCACTCACTTTTCTTTGGGGAGGATGATCTGACTGATTGGTAAGGCTTCTCAAAATACTGAGGATGTGCACTCCTTGTCATTTTGGCATTTGCTTTTTACCTTTATTATTATTACTATTATTTTTAATTTTTTAGAGGCACTATCTCGCTCTGTCACCAAGGCTGGAGTGCAGTGGTACAATCCTAGCTCACTACAGCCTTAAACTCCTGAGCTCAAGTGATCCCCAGCCTCCCGAGTAGCTGGGACTACAGATTGTACCACCATACCCAGCTAATTAAAAAAAAATTTTTTTTGAAATGGGGGGTTCTCATTATGTTGCCCAGGCTGGTCTCGGACTCTTGGGCTCAAGCGATCCTCCCACCTCGGCCTCCAAAGTGCTGGGATTACAGGTGTGAGCCCCTGCGCTGGCCAGCGCTTTGCCTTTAATCATGACATTTGTTGTTTGTTTTTAATTTTTTACTTCTTATTTAGAAATAATTCCAAATATATATTTTTAAATCACACAAATAAAAATAGTACAAATAATACCCACCTACCCTTGCTTTATCATTTGTACTTTTACTCTCTCGTGGCCCTTTATGTCTACTTCCTGAAAATCAGCACCTGCCCCTATATAGCCACAGTGCAGTTCTCAACTTCAGTCTTTTTGGTATGGACGCCCTGTTTTTATCCAATCCGCCTGTGTTCTGGTTTTCTCATCTGTCCCAGTGACTCCTTCACAGCCTTTCCCCCAGCCCAGGGTCGGGCCCTGTGTTCTGCTGTTCCTCTCTTTAGCCACCTTCATTTGGGAACAGCCCACAGCCTTTCTTTGTCTATTATGAGGTGGCCCTCTTTAAAGCCCCCACCCCTTCCCTTTGATGATAGACGACCTCTCATTTGGGGTTTGTCTTGTGTTTCCCACATGTATACAGAAATTATGTTCTTTGGCCGGGACCCTGCACAGGGGGTGCTGGCCTGACTCAGGGCATCTCCTCGAGGGCTCTCGAGGTCCTGTCGCCCCTCACAGGGGACGTCACACCGTCCACCATTTGTCAAGGTGCAGGCCAATTGCTCTACTGCAGAATGGCTCTTTCTTTTCTTCCCTGCAACTGATAAATATCTCGGGTGTGGGGCGCTGAGACCAGCAAGCACCCTGCTCCTGGTGGACATTTCCCAGGATGTAGCTGTGGTGACTCTGGCGGGAGCTGGCCCCTACCCTGGGAGCTGTGAATGACGACCGTGCCAGTGCTCCACCTTGCTGCTGCCCACGGCCTCTGCCTTCCCTTCTCCCTTGGCTGACTTTGGACCAGGCCAGCCCACTTTGCTGCTGCCCACGGCCTCTGCCTTCCCTTCTCCCGTGGCTGACTCTGTTCTTGGCGCAGTTCATGGGTTCCTACTCTGCAGGGGTCTGACCTCTCACTGTCCTTAATGATTTTGGTCTCAAATGGACCCAGATGTGACCAATGGAACCCTTCAACCAGCTCCGTGTCCTAAAACGGGTCCCTTGTTTTTGGAGAACCAACTGCTTTTCTGGCCTCACAAGATATTCCAGGGTCATCTTGTACCCGGCCTACCCCAAATCCAGGCTCAGCCCATTCTCTGAGGGCCCCACTTCCTTTTTTTATTTTTATTTTTTGGTTTGTTTTTTTGAGACAGAGTCTCACTCGCTTCCCAAGCTGGAGTGCAGTGGCGCCATCTCAGCCCACTGCAATCTCCATCTCCCGGGTTCAAGCAATTCTCCTGCCTCAGCCTCCCGAGCAGCTGGGATTATAGGCGCGCACCACCACACCTGGCTAATTTTTCGTATTTTTAGTAGAGACGGGGTTTTGCCATGTTGGCCAGGCTGGTCTCAAACTCCTGACCTCAGGTGATCCGCCCACCTCGGTCTCCCAAAGTGCTGGGATTACAGGCATGAGCCACCACGCCCGGCCTCCTGCCTCCTTTTAGAGAACAAGATGTGGGCGTAGGTGTGTCCATCACTACTAGGGTGTCTTTGCTTCTCAGCCCTTTCAGGGGACAGAGCTAGGAAACACACACACATGTATGGACATATACATACACATATGCACACACATACTTGTCTGTGTACACACACATACTCATATGCATGGAAGTATACATATAGTTCACGTGCATACTTCAGAAATCATGGGTTCTCACCCATACCTCTAATTCCAACCCATGCCCTGCGGCTTTTTCTTGCCTTCTCCTGTTCCGTACGTGTGTGCTCCTTCCCCAGGGGGAACGCTGCTCCCAGCGTCACCAGCACCTTCAGACCCGTGCTCAGTCCTGCAGCACATCTCAAATCGTTTCAGAATCACTCTGCCCATACCACTGCCATTAACAGCCCCGCTAAGACGGGTGCCGGACTTGTTTGTAATTCACCTCCCCCCGCCAGCCAATCTTGCTCAAGGCTGAGGGTTTGTAATCAAACACTGTGTTTGTGAGTCACTGTATCTTCGTTCTCTCTGTCCTTGTCTGTCTGTCTCTCTCTTCGTTGTGGTTATGGCGTCTGTTGGAAATAGAATTCGGTTCATTTGTTCTGGTTCACTTTCAGTCTCATGTTTTCCGGTTCCCTTCCAGCTCTGACTTGATTTTACTTTTTGAATCTGTGGACGGTGACATGCCCAGCCCAGCTGGACCATTGCAGGAGCTGGGAACTTGCGAATTGACAATGTGCTAACCGGGTGTCGGGAGGGGAGAGTCCAGGTGGAAAGGTCCTTCTTGGCCACAGCCCAGGGGTGAGCACCGGCACCCACCCCGACGTGCAGACTTCCCGGGCTTGCCTCACGGGGAAAGTCCTGCCTCCCCAGGGCTGCCACACCCAGGACGGGAAGAGGGCGGGCCCGTGGCTCGAGCTCCAAGTTTCTCTTGGGCTGCTGTCCAGAGGAAGGAGGCCAGCAGGACCTGGTGGGATAGTCCCTGGAAGGCCAGGGCCCTGCACACAGACTGCAAGTCAACACAGGAGCTTTGCTGTCTGAACAGCCCCGGTCCCGCGTTCCCAGGCACGTCTACCCCTCCGACCTGACTTTCCTCTCTCTTACTTCTTACTGATTTCCATGACTCCAAATTCCCTTTCTTGATGTATTTAGCAGAACATGGACAAGCAGGGAAGCCAGGGAGCATGCTGGCCATCACTGCCGGCTGCTCAGCTGTAGAGATCCAGGAGTTGGTTATCAAGGCCTCTTGGTCTATTCCTGGGACCCTAACCCTGGATGGAGTTCAACCGCGGTGCCTCATCTATAAGACAGAGCTGAAAGGCCTCTGTCCTCCCAGCCCCAGTTGAATATTTGGGACTATTCATTAGGTGAACCCTTTCGTGGGTTTTTCAGTCTCGAGGCAGGAAGCCCCCTGAGTGCTAAAAGCATCATTAGGAGGAAGGGTGAGAAATGCCCCCAGCTCCTGATCAGGGGAGAAGCTGTTTCCATCGCCCTTCCTGTCGCCTCCCCACCGCACAGCTGTATCTACTGAAGCAGGAGCTGCAGCGAGCCAACATGGTTTCCTCCTGTGAGCTGGAATTGCAAGAGCAGTCCCTGAGGACAGCCAGCGACCAGGAGTCCGGGGATGAGGAGCTGAACCGCCTGAAGGAGGAGAATGAGAAACTGCGCTCGCTGACTTTCAGCCTGGTAGGTTCCGGTCCCCGCAGCAGAGAGCGGCCTCCTGCCTTGGGGGCTTGGCCCTCAGGCTGTGGGGTTTCTGACAGGTGGTTTAGTTAAGGTGAGGCTAAGAACAAGAGATGAAATTTAGTGACTCATCTCACCCACTTTCTCTTTACCTCCTTCCTTCCTGCTGTTCCCCAGACCCCAAAATTGGCAGAATTAAAAGCTGCTGGAACAGAATTAAAAGCTGGAACTGGGCACAGTGGCTCATTCCTGTAATCCCAGCACTTGGGAGGCCAAGATGGGCAAGATAGCTTGAGCTCAGGAGTTCAAGACCAGCCTGGGCAACATGGCGAGACCCCATCTCTACAAAAAATACAAAAAGTAGCCGGGCATGGTGGTGCACACCTGTGGTCCCAGCTATTCGGGAGGCTGAGGTGGGAGGATCGCTTGACCCTGGGAGTTTCAGGCTGCAGGGAGCTGAGATCACGCCACTGCACTCCAGCCTGGCGACAGAGGGAGACCCTGTCTCAAACAAACAAAAATAAAAGCCGCTGGAGGTGCATCACAATGCCCGACTTGGTGGGTTTACTGCAGCGACTGTGTTCTGGAGTGGACTTGGCCAATTGTAAAGCATGGGATTCGCGTTAAGGATGGGGGAAAGAAACCTTTCTGCCTGGAAAGACTCCGCCCTCTGGGCCTCAGGTGCACTGGAGAGAGGGGGGCTCTGAAGTGGAGCAGTGAGTGAGCAACGACCCTTGGCGTCTCCTCCTCGGCCCCTCTCAGTAGATTGGTATTTATTGAGATATTCCTTCCATAAGCATTCACTGGGCCCAGGGCACTGGCCATCTTGCAGCCCGGATTGTGTCTCTGTTTATAAGCTCCTTCCTGGGAAGTGAGTGTCAGAGGGGAATGACCTGTCTGCTGGTTTCTCCCTCGCTGTGAAACTGCCGGTAGATCTGTTGAAGGAGAAGGCTGACCTGGTAAAGGGAGGAACTGGTGTCCTCAGAGGTTGCCAGCTTCCTGTGTTCCTTCTCCTTGGCCATGAATCTGCACTTTTCCCAGGCATGATGGGTGGCTTTTCCGTGGCTTCTCTCCTGCCCGGTGTAGAGTGGCAAGACTGCATCCGTCCACACACCTGACCGTGCAGTTGCCGCCATCTTCTCGGGATTCTGCTTGCCTAGGGCAGGCCTCTGGGGAAGCCAGCACCCCAGGCTGACCTCTCTCTGCCCCAGGCGGAGAAGGACATTCTGGAGCAGAGCCTGGACGAGGCGCGGGGGAGCCGACAGGAGCTGGTGGAGCGCATCCACTCGCTGCGGGAGCGGGCCGTGGCTGCCGAGAGGCAGCGAGAGCAGGTGCCGTGTGAGCCCTTCCTCCCTTGTGACTCTCCTGGGGCTTGTCTCAGGGGTGCGGACAGGTCTGTGGGGAAGCCAGATTCCTTCATCCACGCCGAGCTCACATAATTTTGCTGAACGAATCTGTCGGCCTGTTCATCTGTCCCTTTGTCAGCGCCACCCTAAGCACCGACTCGCACCCCACAGCTAAGACCATGGTCAGGCAGATGCGTGATTCAAACGCAGGGGATTTCAGGGCCCAGGCCCCGGGGAGAGCCAGGGACTTAGGTGAGGAGGGAACGGGGAGGAAAGGAGACGGTAGAAGAGAAGAGGACAGGGAGGGAAAATTGTTTTTCTGGGACATTAAAAACGCAAAACACAACTATGCATGCAACATCCCCTCATTGTTTTAATTCAGACGTAATCAGCCTAAGCAACTTTCTAGATGCACCTCGAAATCTAGCACTTAAGAGACGAGCGAGGCCGGGCGCGGTGGCCCACGCATGTAGTCAGCACTTTGGAAGGCCGAGGCAGGCGGATCACTTGAGGTCAGGAGTTCCAGACCAGCCTGGCCAATATAGTGAAACCCTGTCTCTACTAAAAATACAAAAATTAGCTGGGCCTGGTGGTGTGTGCCTGTAATCCCAGCTACTAGGGAGACTGAGGCACGAGAATCGCTTGAACCCGGGAAGCAGAGGTTGCAGCGAGCCGAGATTGCGCCATTGCACTCCAGCCTTGGCATCGCAGCGAGTCTCTGTCTCAAAAAAAAAAAAAAAAAGAGAGAGAGAGACGAGTGAGAATTGACCTTATTTCATCCCTAGAACTGTCTCCCTCCCTCCACCCCTGGGTTCCCCGACCCCCTTCTAAGGCCAGACCCTCAGAGCTGCTGAGCTTCACGGTCCATGTGTCCCACTCTGTCCAGTACTGGGAAGAGAAGGAACAGACCCTGCTGCAGTTCCAGAAGAGTAAGATGGCCTGCCAACTCTACAGGGAGAAGGTGAATGCGCTGCAGGCCCAGGTGTGCGAGCTGCAGAAGGAGCGAGACCAGGTACCTGAGAGGCCGGGCCCACCCCGCCACCCCATGCTTGCTTCCCCAGGTGAGGGCTGGTTCCGGGGACAGTCTCGTGGCTCCCTGCCCTTGATGGCAGCTGGTCCCAGATTTCAGGGTCTCTTTCCTCGGTCCACACGAAGTTTCTTCACTCCTCCAGGCCTGTTGTCCACATGCTGTCTCTATCATCCTTCTTGCTCTTATTCCTGGTACATGACACTGAGAAAGTACACCCCAAATACTGGGTTTTATCAACACTGCACATGTGAACACGAATTGAAATGAATCTTAAGTTTGCACAGCTCAGCGTGGGCCATTTAGTGGATGTCAGATGAGCGCAGGCTAGAAACAGGGCTCTCCTTCTCTAGCTGAGGCTCCCCGGTGGTGATGGCGCGGCCTCCTTACTCCCGTCGTGGCCCACAGGCGTACTCCGCGAGGGACAGTGCTCAGAGGGAGATTTCCCAGAGCCTGGTGGAGAAGGACTCCCTCCGCAGGCAGGTGTTCGAGCTGACGGACCAGGTCTGCGAGCTGCGCACACAGCTTCGCCAGCTGCAGGCAGAGCCTCCGGGTGTGGTGAGTGTTCCCGGCTGACCCGAGCTGGAGGCCAGGCAGGGGCTGCGGTGACAGTGGGACAGAGCTGGGCTCCAGGGTGGCCCATGGAGGCACTGGGAGGACAGGCAGGGTCCCAGGCTGGGCCACACGCGGCACCTGCAGAGACGGCCCAGTGTCACTGTGATGAGCGACACACTGGCTCCCACGCGTGGATGGTGCCGTGAAACCTCGAAGGTGCCCAGTAGACAAGTAGAGTCTGCCTCCATATCATCGAATGGGGAGCTTAGCGGAAGGTTCTGGAACCTGTGGAGTGTGGTGATGGATGTGGCAGGTGGCGTTTGAAGCTGTCCACAGGCAGCCATTTGCAGTGTAGATGCTGTGTTCCTGAAATGCTTAAAAGCCCAGCGTCCAAGAGTGGAAAGACAGACCTACATGTAACGGAGGGAGCGTGTTCCCAGAAAGCCAGAATTCTTAGAAAGCCTCTCATTCTGGGCTGGCAGGCAGCTCCAGCTCCAGGCCCCCGGGGAGGCAAAGGAGCTCCTCCCTCCGCATGCGGAACCCACCCGGCCCTTCCTTCCTTACCCCCTGCATGGCAAGCATCCCACACCGACGGTGGAAACACACGTGTGCACGCAGAGAAAAACCCTCCCGGGGCAGGCACCAACACGCAGGCTGTGCTCATTCTGGGTGTGAGATGACGGGTGGATTTTATTTTCTTCTCTAACTGGTTCTACTTGCCTTCCTCCAATTTTCTGTGTGTGTATGTATGTGTGTGTATTATACATTATTCGTAAAACTAGTAAATCACACATATTCTAAAAGAAATGAAATGCTGTGTGTCCAGCTGGTTTCTTTCAGTCTCTTTGATTGGCAGCGCCTGTGATCCTGTGATGGGCTCGGAGGACAGGGACACAATTGTTTTCCCTGGAAGCTGACGAGAGGAAACTGCTGGGGAGGGTGAAATGGGTGGTGCTGACCTGGTAGAAACTCCACGGGCCTCAAAGCGGAACCTTTCCCGAATTAACCAGCCTGTCTGGCCTGTCTTTGGCAGCTCAAGCAGGAAGCCAGGACCAGGGAGCCCTGTCCACGGGAGAAGCAGCGGCTGGTGCGGATGCATGCCATCTGCCCCAGAGACGACAGCGACTGCAGCCTCGTCAGCTCCACAGAGGTACGGCCGCTCCTCCCGCCTCCCTCACTGCCTTGACCCTCTGGGCCAGCCCAGGGGCCTCTCTGTCAGGACGAAAGTGAGCCTCCTTCCACCCTGTCCCCACAGGGAAGAGGTTGGTACGATTGTGAGAGTTTTATTTTATTTTATTTTTTGAGACAGAGTCTCCTCTGTCACCCAGGCTGGAGTGCAGTGATGTGATTTCGGCTCACTGCAACCTCCACCTCCCAGGTTCAAGCGATTCTCTTGCCTCAGCCACCCAAGTAGCTGCATTACAGACACCTGCCACCATGCCCAGCTAATTTTTGTGTTTTTAGTAGAGAGGGTTTCAACATGTTGGCCAGGCTGGTCTTGAACTCCTGACCTCAAATGATCTGCCAGCCTCAGCCTCCCAAAGTGCTGGGATTACAGGCATGAGCCACCGCACCTGGCCCTATTGCGAGAGTTTTAAACATCAGAGGTTGATTCTGTCACAGTCCTGGAGCCCAGACATCCAAAGTCAAAGTGCTGACAGGGTACCCGTCTGGAAATCCTATTCCCAAAGAAGGTCACATTCACAGCTTGCAGGGTGGACATGAGTTTCCAGGGGAACCGATTCAACCTGGCACAGACAGTCCCCAGACATGAGTTTCCAGGGGATTCAACCTGGCACAGACAGTCCCCAGACATGAGTTTCCAGGGGACCCAATTCGACCTGGCACAGACAGTCCCCAGACATGAGTTTCCAGGGGACCCGATTCGACCTGGCACAGACAGTCCCCAGACATGAGTTTCCAGGGGACCCGATTCAACCTGGCACACATGGTCCCTGGGATGCCGGCCTCACTGTGGTTTCTGGAGCCTCAGGACCCTGGCATCTGTCCTCACCCTTTGGCAAAGTAAAGAGGTGGTCCCACCATAGTGGGCATGTGGCATGAGGATGCTGGGGGTCAAAGCCCCAGTGCCACAGGATGCCGGGAGCCGGGAGGGAGGGAGGGTGAGAGGCGGGCGAGGCTGACATCCCTTTGCCATGCCTTGGGGTGGACCTGGTGTTTCCTTCCTGGACCATCCCATCAGTGGCCCAAGAGCAGCAGGCCCAGGCTCACCTGCCCCCTGGCCACTCAGAGAGCTGGGGGAGGCCGGGATCTTCCCCAGAACACTGAGTGCACACACGGGGAAGATTTCACAGTCGGTGCTGGGCCTCCCTGGGCCAGGACAGTCCAAACCTTCAACTGAATCGACTCTCGCATCTGCCTTAACGCCCTCTGTGCCCCCATTCCCCACAGGACAGAGGCCAGCCGTGTTTCCCTTCCCCAGGGGTGGATTGGGTCAGGGAGGGAAGGGACCTCAGGTGCTCAGAACTGGCTCGCCAGAACACACCATCCTCATTCACCAGCCTCGTGGGCAACTGACCGATCAGCTGCCCTCCAGCCACTCTCCTCCTGCCCCGGCTTTCTAATCTGGCTGCTCTAGGGGGACTGCCTCCTACTTCATGGGCTCTCTGCGTGCCACTGCTCTGTTGCTCTCTCTGTCTGGAATGTGCCCCCTGCCCCCAACACACACACACTCCACCTCACTCCTCTGTCCATGCCACTTCCTCCAGAGAGTCCGCCCTGGCCTCCCTGCCCTGCCCATGTCGCCCACAGCCCTGGAATGCCTCACTCCACCTCACTGGTCCACGGGTGCCCGTTGGTTCCCCCACCCCAAGGACAGTCCCTGTCCTCAGATGTACATCTGACACTGTCAAAGGACCTGGCACATAGTAGCTACTCCAGGAATACTTATTAGTGAAAGAAGGGGCGGGATTCAGACCTACCCCACACATCTGGTGGCCTCAGCGCCTCGCACGTCACATTTGTCAGTGTGCACTCTGAGTGCGGCCTCCCCTCCCTAGTCACTAACTCAACCTCTCTGGGCCTCAGTTGCTTTGTGCATTAGTTCGTTCTCATGCTGGTGATACCCACATACCTGAGACTGGGTAATTTACAAAGAAAGAAGTTTAATTGACTCACAGTTCACAGTTCAGCATGGCTGGGGAGGCCTCAGGAAACTTACAATCATGGCAGAAGGCACCTCTTCGCAGAGCGGCAGGAGAGAGAATGAGTGCTCAGCAAAGGGGGAAGCCCTTTATAAAACCATCAGATCTTGTGAGAACTCAGTCACTCTCACGAGAACAGCATGGGGGAAACGGACCCCATGATTCAGTTATCTCCACCTGGTCCCACCTTTGACATGTGGGGATTATTACAATTCAAGGCGAGATTTGAGTGGGAACACACGGCCAAACTATATCACTTTACATGTAAAATGGGACAGCAGTGCCACCTTACAGATTTATCGTGAGAACTAAGCCAAGCAGCTAATAGAGCCTGACATACAGCATGTGTCAGTGCTGTGTGCTAATTGCATGTGACCCCAGTGTCTGGCATACAGCAGGTGCTCAGCGCATGTGACCCCATGTGTGTCCTTCTTTCCCCTCCTGCCTCCTCTCCAGTCAGTTCTCACTGTGGCTCTCTCTACACCGTGGGGGAGCAAGGGAGGAGTCTCAGGGTGTCCTCGTGCGTGCCCCACTGACTTCTGCCCTCCCTCCTCCAGTCTCAGCTCTTGTCGGACCTGAGTGCCACGTCCAGCCGCGAGCTGGTGGACAGCTTCCGCTCCAGCAGCCCCGCGCCCCCCAGCCAGCAGTCCCTGTACAAGCGGGTGGCCGAGGACTTCGGGGAAGAACCCTGGTCTTTCAGGTAGAGCACTGGGGTCCTTCCTGGCACTGGGGTGGCACTGGGGTCCTTCCTGGCAACTCACCAGAGACACCAACCTAGACCTCAGGGCATCTGGGTATTGCAGGCAGCAGCTCCTGCCCTCGAAGCCCCAGAGCTGGCAGGTGCTGGGGGCCAGTGCTTGGGGCGTGGGGACTCAGAGGGAGCAGGTGATGCAGTTTGAGCCTGCTGCTGCTTATGCTTTGCAGCAGCTGCCTGGAGATCCCGGAGGGAGACCCGGGAGCCCTGCCGGGAGCTAAGGCAGGCGACCCACACCTGGATTATGAGCTCCTAGACACGGCAGGTGAGCACGCCCAACCCTGAACCTCCACAGCAGTCCACCTCCCCTGGGCAGAGCAGGGAGCTGATGAGAAAGCCGGGGCCTCTCTCCAGGGAAAGGGCAGATAGAAGCAGAGCTCAACTTCTGCCCTGGGCCTTGACCTTGGCCTCGACCTTGCACTTTGGGAAAGTCCCGCCTGCCAGCCAGCGTAAGCCAAAGGCCGGCTGCGCTCTGTCTGCTGGTGTCCTTGTGTTTTTCCCTAGAGCCAGGGGAGTTGTGTCTGATCCACGCCCTGCTCAGCACCCAGCCCCCTGCTCTGATCTGTAACGCTTGGGCTTCCCAGTGGTTTCAGAAGGCAGCAGGCAGGGTGGCTTAGTGGTGCCAGGCTGAGGCGAGGCACAGCGTGACATCTACCTGCGGGGAGCATCTCTCCTCTCAGGCGCTGGCCCTGAGGCCTCGCGCTTCTCCTGTAGCTCATTTCTGTTTGTGATTGGACCGGCCCTCTCTGCTTCCCAAGTCCATGGGCCCGTCATGGGTGGGTGCCTTAATCCTTTCCACCTCGGCGCGACCGGCTCCCAGCCTTGGGCCTTGCACACAGTAGGTGCTTTGCTCCCCATTTGGAATTCACCCCATGGCCACCAGGGGGCGCAAGTGCCCTGCGCTGCCCCTGTGCCTTCTGTGGGTCGCAGAATCAGAAATCTTCATCTTTGGGGACTCATACACGTTTTTATTTATAATCGTGATAAATCGAGAGAGACCACCCAAGGCATATCTAAATTAGATGTGAGATGAGAAGAGGGGCTTATTCCTCTTTATTTTTCCTCTGTGAGGATTCTGCGTAATGCCCTGGTTGCATATACTTTTAGTGGAATTGACCTCAAATACATCCAGAGTACACAGCTCATTTCATTGGCTTTGAATGTGATCCCAATGGGTTTTTGCCTGTGAGCCAGGCCTAGGGAACTCTCAGGTCTCTGCTGGCCCTGGCTCTGCTGTGTGGTTCACAGAGTGAGACTTGCAGCCGTCGACCCTGGCAGGCTGCTCCCTGGTTCGGGGGCTCACAGGCTGTACAGTAAAATGCTAGAGCTTGGGAGACCCTGGGGAGCCTCTAGTCCTAGGATTGACAACTCAGAGACCTGCCACCACCAGCTGGGAAGCAGAGGAGTCTGGGGTAAGGAGCAGGCAGCTGCTGGCCAGTGCCAGTGATTGCGGCCACACAGAAATGCAGGCCTGTGTGGAAATGCAGGCCAGTGTGGAAATGCAGGCCAGTGTGGAAATGCCGTGTAGTACAGTAGTGCAGGTCTGGGTAGAAATGCAGGTCCATGTTTGGGAGGTCAAGGTGGGCGGATCATGAGCTCAAGAGATCGAGACCATCTTGGCCAACATGGTGAAACCTCGTCTCTACTAAAAATACAAAAGTCAGCTGGGCATGGTGGCACACACCTGTAGTCCCAGTTAGTCAGGAGGCTGAGGCAGGAGAATCACTTGAACCTGGGAGGTGGAGGTTGCAGTGAGCCAAGATCGCACCACTGCACTCCAGCCTGGCGACAGAGCGAGACTCAGTCTCAACAACAATAACAACAACAACAAAAGAAATACAGATCCATGTAGAAAGGCAGGCCAGGGCCGGGTGTGGTGGCTCATGCCTGTAATCCCAGCACTTTGGGAGGCCAAAGTGGGTGGATCATGAGGTCAGGAGTTCGAGACCAGCCTGGTCAACATGGTGAACTCCCGTATCTACTAAAAATACAAAAATTATCTGGGCGTGGTGGCACATGCCTCTAGTCCCAGCTACTCAGGAGGCTGAGGCAGAAGAATTGCTTGAACCCGGGAGGCGGAGGTTGCAGTGAGCTGAGATCACGGCACTGTACTCCAGCCTGGGCGACAGAGTGAGACTCTGTCTCAAAAAAAAAAAAAAGAAAGAAAGAAAGAAAGAAAGACAGGCCAGTGCAGTGCAGGCCCACGCAGACATGGAGGTCAATGCAGTAATGCAGGCCAGTCCTGAAATGCAGGTCCATGCAGAAATACAGGTCAGTGCGGAAATGCAGCCCCAGGGTTACAGCAGATATTTTTTCAAGTGAAGCCAGAAATCCAGATTTTAGGTGAAACCTCCCTGTCTTTCAAATGTTGGCAACTCATTCAAATATCACAAAATAGCATGTGGTGGTCAGACCCTCCCAGTTGCAGCTCCTCACTAGTTACAGTGATTTTAGGAAAGATGAAATCAAGGTCCCAAGCATTGAGGAAGGGGTGGAGGAAGAGAAAGTTCAGCCTCAGCACAAAGGATGGAACAGGCAGTGGGGCCTGAGGCTGAGGGAGAAGGGGCTGAGGTTACAGGAGGTTACAGGACGCCCCATCAGCAGTGGGGTGACCAAGATCTGTGAAGAAGGGGCTGAGGTTACAGGAGGTTACAGGACGCCCCATCAGCAGTGGGGTGACCAAGATCTGTGAGCTCTTGGCTTCCTCCCAGACCTTCCGCAGCTGGAAAGCAGCCTGCAGCCAGTCTCCCCTGGAAGGCTTGATGTCTCGGAGAGGTAAGCAGCAGGTGGGAATCCTCCGAGGCTGGCTGGGGAACCAGGGCCAGGGAGTGGCAGAGCAGAGGGTGAGTGTCCTATTACCAATGGGAGGCAACAGCCTTTCCAAGCACATGGGGCCATGGAGGGGGAGGAGAATTCCAGAACACTGGGGCCAGAGGGAAGCAATGGGGAGGTGGCCTTGCCGGCTCTCCTGCTCTGGGCAGTGCACAAGCCGGTCGTCTCCCGGCCTGCAGCGGCGTCCTCATGCGGCGGAGGCCAGCCCGCAGGATCCTGAGCCAGGTCACCATGCTGGCGTTCCAGGGGGATGCATTGCTGGAGCAGATCAGCGTCATCGGCGGGAACCTCACGGGCATCTTCATCCACCGGGTCACCCCGGGCTCGGCGGCGGACCAGATGGCCTTGCGCCCGGGCACCCAGATTGTGATGGTGAGCCGTGCGAGGCCCCTCCTGTCCCCCGGGCTCCTCATGGGGACAGTGGCAGCGGGTGGGGTGACCCAGGCAGACTTCACCTCCCCCAGACGATGCAGATCCACTCTGGGCTGGGCCTCTGCTCTTTCCTGGGCTGACGTAAAGCGTTCTGCTCATTTATAGATGAGAGTCGTGCCGTGCAGAACCCAGCATGTCACCCGTGGTGCTGCTGCCATGCGGCGCTTCTGACCAGGGGTCTTTGCATGAGGCCCCTTGACAGGGCTGCTCTGGGTGGTCACTTTGGGTGTGTACAGTAAAATACACGTGACATAAAATTCACTATTTTAACCACTGGGGCATTTCTTTTCTTTCTTTTTTTTTGTTTGTTGTTTTGAAACAGGGTCTCACTCTGTCACCCAGGCTAGAGTGCTGCGGTGCGATCACAGCTCACTGCAGCCTCGACCTCCCCAGGCTCGATTGATCCTCCCACCTCAGCCTCTTAAGTAGCTGGGACCAGACCACAAGCATGCGCTACCGTGCCCGGCTAATTTGGGGACATTTTCTAAAACTTTTTTTTGTTGTTGTTACGAAACGCACAAAACTGCTGAGAAGATAAATGGACACAAATATACAACCTGGCCAGGTGTGGTGGCTCACGCCTGTAATCCCAGCAGAAGGCTGAGGCAGGCAGATCACTTGAGGTCAGAAGTTCAAGACCAGCCTGGCCAACACGGCGAAACCCCGTCTCTACTAAAAATGCAAAAATTAGCCAGGTGTGGTGGTGGGCGCCTGCATGGTCAGGGGGTGACTTTGATGTGGCCTAAAAGCAGAATTATTAAACTTTAGGAAAAAAAAAAACTTCTGGGCACAGTGGTACATGCCTGTAGTCCTAGCTACTCAGATGCCTGAGCCCAGGAGATTGAGGCTGCAATGAGCTAAGATTGCACCACTGCACTCGAGCCTGGGTGACAGAGCAAAGCCTTGTCTCAAAAAAAAAAAAAAAAAAAAGAAAAGAAAAAAAAAGGCCAGGCACGGTGGCTTATGCCTGTAATCCCAGCACTTTGGGAGGCTGGAGCAGGCAGATCACCTGAGGTTAGGAGTTTGAGACCAGCCTGGACAACATGGTGAAACCCCGTTTCTACTAAAAATACAAAAAAAAAAAAAAAATAGCTGGTATCTATAATCCCAGCTACTCAGGAGGCTGAGGCAGGAGAATCACTTGAACCTGGGAGGCGGAGGTTGCAGTGAGCTGAGATGGTGCCACTGCACTCCAGCCTGGGTGACAGAGTGAGACTCGGTCTCAAAAAAGAAAAAAAGAAAAGAAAAAGGAAAGCACAGTGCTTTCTTAATATGAAAAAAATTTTAAACCAAGAAATGTGCAAGATGGGCTTCACCTCATTCCAGAGGCTCACCCTGCGGCCTCCAGGAGGGGACTGGGGATGGGGGCTCTGGGGTGGGAAGGTGAGCACAGAGGCGGGGAGAGGATGCGTCTGAACCCCTCAGGCAGGAGTGTTCCATGCACCCCTCACTGCCCCCTTGGAACAGGCTGTCCAAATGCTGAGCTCCCCTAGGGCTCCAATGATAGCACATGGAGCACCTAATTCAAGCGTCCTTCACGTCCTCCACATGACCCGGGAAGCCTTTCTTTACATGTCATTTTTTTTTTTTTTTTTTTTTTTTTGAGACAGAGTCTTGCTCTGTCGCCCAGGCTGGAGTGCAGTGGCTCGATCTTGGCCCACTGCAACCTCCACCCCCTGGGTTCAAGCGATTCTCTTGCCTCAGCCTCCCATGTAGCTGGGATTACAGGTGCCCGCCACCACACCCGGCTAACTTTTGTATTTTTAGTAGAGACAGGGCTTCACCATGTTGGCCAGGCTGATCTCGAACTCCTGACCTCAAGTGATCCACCCACCTCAGCCTCCTAAAGTGCTGGGATTACAGGCATCAGCCACCATGCCCAGCCCTTCTTTACATTTCTAGTTGTCCTCTTAAGCAGCAGTCCCCAACCTTTTTGGCACCAGAGACCGGCTTCATGGAAGACAACTTTTCCACAGACCGGGTTGTGGGGGATGGTTTTGGGATGATTCAAGCACGTTACATTGATTGTACACTTTATTTCTATTATTATTACACTGTAATATGTAATGAAAGAATCATACACTGAACCATAATTCAGAATCAGTGGGAGCCCTGAGCTTGTTTTCCTGCAACTAGACGGTCCCATCTGGGGGTGATGGGAGACGGTAACAGATCATCAGGAATTAGATTCTCATAAGGAGCGTGAAACCTAGATCCCTCACTTGCACAGTTCACGATAGGGCTCATGCTCCTCTGAGAATCTACTGCTGTGCTGAGCTGACAGGAGGTGGAGCTGAGGCCGTAATGCTCACTTGCCCACCACGCCCCTCCTGCTGTGTGACCCGGGTCCTGATGGACCATGGACCAGTACCAGTATGTGGCCCAGGGGTTGGGGAACCCTGCTCTTAAGGTTCCCAATTATCAGCTCTGAGGTAGTTCAAGCAACAGAGCCCCTTGACGATGTTCAGGGAGATAGTCCCGATATCCTAAGGGGGCCAATTAGATTCTAATGGTGTTAAAACACATCTTAATTTTTATTGTAAAAATATCTACTCTCCTAAGCTTAGAACAATATTGAGAAGAAATGAAGTGGATGGTGGAAGCCCTGGGGGGTGGGCCTTCACAGTGGGGAAGGCTGTGGGTGGAGAGCCAGGGCATCGGGTAGGTGAAGGCCAGGGATGCCACTCAGCATCCTGTAGGGCCCGGTATAGCCCGCAGCAGCACAGAATGATCCCAAGGCTAAGAAACCTCTATCTAGAATGCTCTTGAATGTTCTAGAACCGAGGTTCTTTCTTTTCTTTTCTTTTCTTTTTCAAGACAGGAAAGTGCTTATCACAAAGAACCCCCGATCTCGACTGGGGAAGGGTTGGCAGTTGACTCTCTGGCCAGCACTATGTGTAGCACGCATCACTAGAGGTGTGAAGGCCCCACAGAGGCTCTGGTGTGTGGCTTTGTTTTGACCAAGGCGTGCAGGCAGTGGTCCTACGGCAGGGCTGGCCCGCGCCTCGCCTCAGTGCCCTCAGCGCCTTCTGTCTTCTGGCTGGATTCAGAGTCCCGGGGGAAAGAGACTGACCTTCTCGACTTGCCCTCAGGTTGATTACGAAGCCTCAGAGCCCTTGTTCAAGGCAGTCCTGGAGGACACGACCCTGGAGGAGGCCGTGGGGCTTCTCAGGAGGGTGGACGGCTTCTGCTGCCTGTCTGTGAAGGTCAACACGGACGGTACACATACCACTCCTCTCGTGTGCACAGCTGCCTGGCCAGACTCCATGACCCTTAAGTCCCTGGTGGTTCTTCTGCACGCCCAGCAGCCAGGGACCCCCAGAGCCAAGAGAGGATCAGCCAGGCTGTGCCCCAGGTCCCCAGGAGGCCCCCAAGCCAGCTGGAAACCTCCCACCCACTGACTCCAGTGCCAGAGCAGCTTCTGAGACTGGGAGGGTCCTTCCTTCTCTCCTACTTTAATTTTCTGCAACCTTCCTCGCAGAGGCTCGTATCTGTGGCTCATCTGTGGCTCATGTCCCCTTTTATCAGGTTATAAGAGGCTACTCCAGGACCTGGAGGCCAAAGTGGCGACCTCGGGGGACTCATTCTACATCCGGGTCAACCTGGCCATGGAGGGCAGGGCCAAAGGGGAGCTGCAGGTGCATTGCAACGAGGTCCTGCACGTCACCGACACCATGTTCCAGGGCTGCGGCTGCTGGCATGCCCACCGCGTGAACTCTTACACCATGAAGGATACTGCCGCGCACGGCACCATCCCCAACTACTCCAGGTGAGCAGCTGCCTCGAGCTCGGTGCGTCCCCAGAGAGGCCCACAGGGAAATGGCACCCAGCCTGCCTCGGCTTCCTCCTCCTGCCCAGCAATAGAGGGTGGGCGTGGTGAGACCCCCCTAAGGAGGGAAGCCTGCCAAGATCACTGCTGAAGATGTTGTTTCTTTGTGATGGATGCTTTATATATTGCAAATGAAATGTTCATTCTAGAACATTCTAGATCTGGGTTTCTTAGCTCTGGGTTTCTTAGCTTTGGTACCATGGACGTTTGGGGCTGGATCCCCGTCTGTGGTGGGGCCGTCCTGGGCACTGCAGGATATAGAGCAGCATCCCTGGCCGCCCTACCCAGGATGCCGGGACTACTCCCATGCCCCAGCTGTGACAACCAGAAATGTCTCTATAGGTTGCCAAGGGTCCCCTGGTTCTCCTAGGACTGTCTTGGTCTTAGCACTGAAAGCCCCACTTGCAGGGAAGCCCCTCGGTCCTGGGCAAGCAGGGACAGCTGGTCACCCTCCCTGGGGAGTGACATTGCCCCCTGCCTTGCTCCATTGAAAACCACTGCTCTAGGCCGAGCATGGTGGCTCACACCTGTAATCCAAACACTTTGGGAGGCCGAGGCGGGTGGATCATCTGAGGTCAGGAGTTCGAGACCAGCCTGGGTAACCTGGTGAAACCCTGTCTCTATTAAAAATACAAAAAACTTAGCTGGGCGTGGTGGCAGGTGCCTGTAATCCCAGCTACTCAGGAGGCTGAGGCAGGAGAATCACTTGAACCCCGGAGGCAGAGGTTGCAGTGAGCCGGGATTGAGCCATTGCACTCCAGCCTGGGCGACAGAGTGAGACTCTGTCTCAAAAAAAAAAAAAAAGAAAAGGAAACCATTGTTCTAGATCAGCCTATGGGAGGCTCCAAGTTTCAAGTGCACGGAACGCACAGTGCTAGAAAGCAGGAGTGTTGAGCTCAGCACCCCCATCACTCATTGCAAACTCAAGTCCCCTGGGGATCGGAGCCAGCAGGTCCAGGGAGAGGCCTGGCACTCTGCATTTCTAACAGCTCTCTCGGTGACTCCAGGCTGCAGGCCAGGGACCCACCATGAATATTGAGGTCCTGGAGTGGGGCCCTGTACGCTGGCTGCTCAACAGCACCCCCTGGGTCCCGCCCCAGGACAAGTAAATCAGCATCTCCAGGGGTGGGCCGAGGCCCTGGAGTCTTTTGAAAGCTCTGGAGACTGGCATGGCCGCCAGGATGGAGCGCTCCAGCCTGCAGCAAAGGGATGTGTGGAGCTCTAGGTGGAGGCCCTTCTCTCCCACCCGGCCATCTCCCCCACTCTCCCCTGCTCGGCTCTCCCCTGCCCTGCTCACCTGGCAGGAGGCAGCTGGGTCAGGGCCTCTGCTGGTCTCTGCAGGGCTCAGCAGCAGCTCATAGCCCTCATCCAGGACATGACTCAGCAGTGCACCGTGACCCGCAAGGTGAGGCTCCAGGGAGGGGCCTGGACCCCACTGGGGTGGGCTGGAAGAGGGGCTCGGTGCTGGCAGGGTGGCAGGAGGCACTGTGTGGAGAGTGGGCTGCTGATTGGAGGGTAACCCCACCTGTCTCTCCTCTGCACCCCTTCAAACCAGGGCAGGGTCTGCAGCCCCTGCCCAGCCTGCAGGCTCTTGCACAAGTGCAGACACACCTCAGGCTGTTCTCAGAGCATCTGCGCCTCTGCATCACTCCCAGGTCGCCCTAGTGCCAATCATCTCCCCTGAATTCCCATTCCTGTTGATGGCTTCAACAGCTCCTCCTCATCCTTTCTCTGTCCCTCCTTTAGCCATCTTCTGGGGGACCACAGAAGCTGGTCCGCATCGTCAGTATGGACAAAGCCAAGGCCAGCCCTCTGCGTTTGTCCTTTGACAGGGGCCAGTTGGACCCCAGCAGGATGGAGGGTGAGGCCTGGTGAGCTGGCACAGGGGCCACTGGCTCCAAGTGGGTGAGGGGCTTTGGGAGCTGCTGCTAGTTGGTCAGCTGGGGCAGGGGGATGCCACTCATTTAGGCCAGGATCTGGTCTTCAAGAATCATGGGGCTGGGTGTGGTGGCGCACACCTGTAATCCCAGATACTCGGGAGGCTGAGGCAGGAGAATCGCCTGAACCCGGGAGGCAGAGGTGGCAGTGAGCCGAGATGGTGCCATTGCACTCCAGCCTGGGCAATAAGAGCAAAACTCTGTCTCAGGAAAAAAAAAAAATTTCAGGAGAGGAGTACAGGACAGAGGGAGGGCTAGGACCCTGTGCCCTGGAGGATGGCTGAGGAGAAGGGTGCCACTCTCCCAGATCCTTTGGAAGGAAGAAAACCCTGGCTTCCGCCATCCTCCCTTGGGCCTATAGGAAACAGGATTAAGTTGCAGGCTGCAAAGCAGTCCCTGGAGAGCCACAGAGCTGTGTAACCCCCGTGCAAAGGAGCCGCTCAGCCAGGGGCTATGGAACTGGGAGTGAGTCCTGTGACCGCTGAGCCTGTGCCCCTGGAATTCTAGGTGCTGGGGCTGCTGCAGTGAGCAAAGCAGACCCAGTCCCTCCCGGGGCAGGGTAGGCTGGCTGGGGGCTGCCGCAGCCTCACCCACCCTCAGGATCCTCTCCTCCACAGGCTCCAGCACGTGCTTCTGGGCCGAGAGCTGCCTCACCCTGGTGCCCTATACCCTGGTGCGGCCCCATCGACCCGCCCGGCCCCGGCCTGTGCTCCTCGTGCCCAGGGCGGTTGGGAAGATCCTGAGCGAGAAACTGTGCCTCCTCCAAGGGTTTAAGAAGTGCCTGGCAGGTATGCTGTTGCCTGGGAATCCCTCTACCCCTTCCACCTTCCCTCCCTCCCTCCTCCCCTTCCTCCCTCCTTCCTCCCCTTCCTCCCTCCTCCTTCCCTCCCCCACCACGCACATTCCCACACTCACCTGCTGTGTCCAGATAGTTCAGGATGGAGGTGCAGGGCACAGAGCGGGGTGTGCAGGGTCAGGTTTGTAAAGTGGACATCCTAAGAAGAGCTTCTCCCAGTGCTGGCAGGGTTCACGGGGACAGGGGTGTTTACCATGGGACTCCCCCAGACCCCCACACAGCTGGTCTATGATGGCCCCGTCCAATGTCACCTGTAGAGTACTTGAGCCAGGAGGAGTATGAGGCCTGGAGCCAGAGAGGGGACATCATCCAGGAGGGAGAGGTGTCCGGGGGCCGCTGCTGGGTGACCCGCCATGCTGTGGAGTCCCTCATGGAAAAGGTGAGGTCAAGGGCGGGGTGGGCAGGGGAGCTGTCCTGGGAAGGGTTTCAGGAATGCAGAGGAGGGGGATGAGATAAAGGTACAGGGACCGACCTGAGACCTGGGTGACCTTGTCGCCGACCTCTGGGTCCCAACAGCCCAGCAGGAGCCCAAAACTCATCTCAGCCAGTTAGGATCCACGTGACTGTGGGTGAGGTCTCCCAACTCCTTGAATCTCAGTTTCCTCAGCTTGGGGGATGTTTAATAGATATTTGTTCGAGAATGAATAAATCCGAGCTAACAACACTCTCCACGTTTGAAGGCGCAAACGCGTGAAAAGCAGCTCCCCGTGAACCACAGCTTTGTGTCTGCACAGGCACGGGAAGCCGAGTCTGGCATCTGCGTGCCTCCTGTAGGGGCTGGCGGAGCTCCATGCCAAGTTCACCTCATCCCCAGAGCTCACAATTTCTAGATTTTCCCAGTGAAAAATCAAAGGGATGGAAACTCTTAATACTGCATAGCACACAGCCTCATTTAGAAAGTGGCAAACTCAGCTGGGCCTGGGGCTCACGCCTGTCATCCCAGCACTTTGGGAACCCGAGGTGGGAGGATCGCTTGAGCCCAGGAGTTCAAGACCAGCCTGAGCAACACAGTGAGACCCGTCTCTAAAAAAAATTAAAAAATAAAAAGAGAAGAAAGTAGCCGGGCACAGTGGCTCGCGCCTGTAATCCCCACACTTTGGGAGGCCTAGGCGGGAAGATTGCTTGAGCCCAGGAATTTGAGACCAGCCTGAGCAACACAGTGAGACACCCGTCTCTACAAAACATTTAAAAGCTAAAAAAATTAAAAGTGGGCCGGGTGCGGTGGCTCACGCCTCTAATCCCAGCACTTTGGGAGGCCGAGGCGGGCAGATCACCTGAGGTCAGGAGATCAAGACCATCCTGGCTAACACGGTGAAACCCTGTCTCTACTAAAAACAGAAAAAATTAGCCAGGCGTGGTGGTGGGCGCCTGTAGTCCCAGCTACTCGGGAGGCTGAGACAGGAGAATGGCATGAACCTGGGAGGCAGAGCTTGCAGTGAGCCGAGATCGCGCCACTGCACTCCAGCCTGGGCGACAGAGCGAGACTCCGTCTCAAAAAAATAAAAAATAAAAATAAAAAAAAGAGAGAAGAAAGTGGCAAGCTCTATTCCCTCATCTCCTCTACAAAATTCAGCTCTGCCCAGCTCCTGCCCTGCCCTCAGCCTGTCCGGAGGGCCCTTCTGACCTGGGCGTTGGCTCCCTTTGCTTCCTCTGAGGCCTGTGATCTTGACTCACTTCTTCTCTCCCTCCCACAAAGAACACCCATGCCCTCCTGGACGTCCAGCTGGACAGTGTCTGCACCCTGCACAGGATGGACATCTTCCCCATCGTCATCCACGTCTCTGTCAACGAGAAGATGGCAAAGAAGCTCAAGTAGGTGCACGCTGGGGGCTGGGCAGGGGCTTCGAAGCGGCTCCTGGGCTCCCCCAAAGCCCACGGCAGGTGCCTCTGGAGTGTGCTCTGCGGTTTGCAGGAAGCTGAGGCGCTGACAGGGCCGTTTCCGCACAACTTTGGGACAAGGGCCCCGCTGATTGCTCATGAGATTCCCCTGATTTTGGCCGGGCGTGGTGGCTCACGCCTGTAATCCCAGCACTTTGGGAGGCCAGGGTGGGCAGATTGCTTGAGGTCAGCAGTTCGAGACCAGCCTGGCCAACATGGAGAAACCCTGTCTCTATTAAAAATACAAAAACTAGCCAGGTGTGGCGGCGGGCGCCTGTAATCCCAGCTACTCGGGAGGCTGAGACATGATAATTACTTGAACTGGGAGGTGGAGTTGCGGTGAGCCAAGATCGCGCCACTGCACTCCAGCCTGGGTGACAGAGCGAGACTCTGTCTCAACAAAACAAAACAACAACAACAACAACTGCTCTGATTTCACGCTTACCAAACAAACTTGATTTCAAATCTGGCCTCTCCAGAATCTTGATACCAGGATGACGGTGCCTTTTACAGTGGGCAAAAGTAGCCTAGTCACTGGAAAATGACATTTTATAATTGAAATTTAAAGTTGTAAATTAACAAATTGGCACTCCCTCCCCCAAGAGCAGCTCAGAGGACCATTGTAAGGCCAGAACCCCACCCGGCCTCAGCTCCACTGACCCTCCACTTACTGGTGCTTGGCTAGCACAATCTAATCCTTGTCGGCTAAGGACAAAAAAAAAAAAAGTAAAAAAATTACTTGGTTTCCTGGGGACAGACCAAGATGTCCTGCTACTGTGCCCTTTCTACTCCAGGAAGCAAGGCTGTGTTCTAGACAACCTGCCTCCCACCACTGGGGCCTGGGGCCTATTTTCTTTACAAGGTCCCCTCAAAGCGAGGCCACCTGTGTTTAGGGGTGTTTGGGTGCATGTCATCACTACCCTAGCCAGGGCTCCTGGGCCCTTGCTCTCCCCTGAGCCCGCCCCCCCCAACTCTGGCCTGTGCAGGAAGGGCCTACAGCGGTTGGGCACCTCAGAGGAGCAGCTCCTGGAGGCTGCGAGGCAGGAGGAGGGAGACCTGGACCGGGCGCCCTGTCTATACAGCAGCCTGGCTCCTGACGGCTGGAGCGACCTGGACGGCCTGCTCAGCTGTGTCCGCCAGGCCATCGCCGACGAGCAGAAGAAGGTGGTGTGGACGGAGCAGAGCCCCCGATGATGCACCGTGCCCCTTCCCGGGACTGTGGGGGCTTCTGTGTGCCTGTTAATGCAGTCCTGTTCCTCAGCCCAGGCCCTCTTGGCACAGCTGTGGGCTCCTTGGCACATGAGGCCGGCTCTCCCCACTGGCTGGGGTCTAACCTTGAACCCTCACCACGTGCAGGTCACACACAGTGAAGCCACTTGTAACTGCACACTTTTCTGTGGAAACATCTTCACCCTTTACCAGGCTTGGCATGGTCTGAACTGGAAACCCTGAGAATGTTTCTGCAGTGGGACAGGAGGGACGTCTTCCCATGCCTTCCCTAGAACCGGAGGCCCCGGACTTCTCTGGAAAACCGCCTGTCTGCAGGCCCGATTCAAATCTATGGGGGCTGCACTTCCCTTTTACATTTTGATGTGTCAAAGGCTTTTGGAGTGACCAAAAGCACAGAGGCAGCGGGTGGGGCGCCTGGGTGGTCCCCAAGGTCGCTGCCACCCTTGCCCGGGGCAGAGGCAGAAGCCCACATATGCTGTGACGCTGGCCACCTTTTCTCAGCTTCTGAGGCTGCGATGCCTCAGGAACTCCAGTTTACAGAGACCAGTGTGTTTACTTGTAAATAAAGCCTCTGCGTGGTGGAGACGGTACTTTCAGTGGGTCTGTGCCCCGTGGCCCCTGTGCCTGTTCGGTGGGGGTGTCCCAGAGAAGCCTGGCACCAGTACCCCCGTACAAGGCCCAGCGGACTCTGCCTTCCCCTGACCTGGCTTTGCACCCCAGCCCTTCTTGGGCCAAACATCTTTACTCCACCTTCAGGGCTCGGGGAGGACCCAGGTCCGCCAGCACCTGGCCTTGCCCCTGCCTCCTGGGGCTGTTGCAGACTGAATGTCATTTTGACAGCAGTGTCCAAGAATCAGGAAGCTGTTCTAGAATTCAGGTTGGTATCATCATAAATGAGTTCAGAAAAAGAACTTCTGTATATTTTACTAAAATAAAAAGCTTTTACAATAGCTGGCCTGTGGCCTCCTCCAGCCCACCCCAGTATGGAGTGATAGGGAGGGAAGGGCAAGGGGAGCCCACCTACTCAAGGAAGCGCCCTCTCCTTCGAGGGGTGTCCAGGCCGAGGGGTGTCCAGGCCGGGCTTCTGCTCCCGAGGTGGGTGGAGGCAGGGCAGGAACGGCACATTCTCCCAGCAACGCCGACGTCATCCAAGAATTAACCCAAGCCAGAGGACGGGCATCGCCACCCAGCAACGCCAGTGTCACCGAAGAATTAACCCAAGGCAGAGGATGGGCATTGCCACCCAGCAACGCCAGTGTCACCGAAGAATTAACCCAAGCCAGAGGACGGGCATCACCACCCAGCAATGCCAGTGTCACCGAAGAATTAACCCAAGCCAGAGGACGGGCATCGCCATGCCTTCATCTTCGGACACTCTCAAAAAAGATAAGCTTCTGCCCAGAAACACCACAGGTTCAAGCTCATCACTCAGGGAGCCTGCTGCCAATCAGCTGAAACCTGCCTGGGGAACAGGGACTTGACCATGGGGCAAAACAGAAGAAGCAGAAACCTGCCCAAAGGTCGCTCAAAGGCTTCCTCTAGGCCAGACGCTGGTAAGAGCCAGGCGCCGTGCTCCCAGGTGAGTGTCGGTGGGACCTGCGTACTGCCCACGCGGCACCGAAGCCCCTGCCTGCTCTCTGTGAAGGGTTCAGAAGTATCTGTGGCTGCCAAAGCCTGAAGAGGGCCTCAGGCCTCCCATTTGCAGGTCCCCAAACCAAGCCAGAAAACAAGACTCCCTTGTCATGGGCTGGGGGCGCTGCCCTGTCCGCAGACCACGTATGTCTAGAATTC